>NC_000009.12:67754406-67920552 GCF_000001405.40 Homo sapiens | reverse complement strand
GAATTCTTATGGGTGTTTGGGGAATATATTTTCTGTTGAGTCCTATACTAGTAAGATTTTCAACACAAGGTGACTCTGGGTCTCGCCTTGTAGGAAGAGCACTGAGAAAATATTTCATCTGCTCTTTCTCCATAAGGAGCTTCATGCTGATCACTGCTATTTTCTTATTTGATCTGTAAAGATAGCAAAGACACACGCTTAGTATTTCATTTTTCCTCTAATGATTCTTAATGACTTGCAGTTTTTAAAAACTTGCCCTGAGAGCAAACCAAATTATCCACTAAACAGTGTTTTCACACTGAAGATGTGTGAGAGCATACCTGTTGTAAGCAAGTATAATTTTAAAATCATTCTAAAGAAGCACCTGTGTTTCTAAGGTGATTTATACTGAACAAGCAGTACAAACAAAGTAGACAGGGAAGAGAAATGGCTATCAGTGATATATGGCTCGACAGGTAACACTTGCTGCCTTCTAAAAGGGCTCTACTTGTGAGATTCTGAAGATTCCATTAGAAATACTCATATTTAAAGGGTAACAATGTGAGAAAAGAATATGTTGATTTGCTTGATTATAAGAACCACTTCACTTGAAATAATTGTATCAAAACATCATGTTGTACTCCTTAATGTAGGTTAAGAAAACTAAAATGAACAACAACAAAAAAATTT
Source organism: Homo sapiens (assembly GCF_000001405.40). Taxonomy (NCBI): domain Eukaryota; kingdom Metazoa; phylum Chordata; class Mammalia; order Primates; family Hominidae; genus Homo; species Homo sapiens. The sequence continues at coordinate 67,919,883 of NC_000009.12, read as the reverse complement.
AGGAATACTTGTGTTTAGCAAACAAATTTTAGGTTTCACCCTTGTGCATTTCACCCATTATCTAGGAACAATTAAGCATTTGGCACTGAGGAATAATTCAGAACAACAACTCCTGGGGGAGAACTAGATTGGCTGGTTGGTGATCAAAAAGAACTAAAGCATGTCTGAAGGCAATTAGCCCCCAGCACTGTGACCAAGGCACTGGAGGTGGGGCTTTTTCCTTCTGCCTTCCACACACCGCTTCAGGCTGAACAAGTTTTTTTTTTTTTATACTTTAAGTTTTAGGGTACATGTGCACAACGTGCAGGTTAGTTACATATGTATACCTGTGCCATGTTGATGTGCTGCACCCAGTAACTCATCATTTAACATTAGGTATATCTCCAAATGTTATCCCTCTCCCATCCCCCCACCCCACGACAGGCCCCGGTGTGTGATGTTCCCCCCTTCCTGTGTCCATGTGTTCTCATTGTTCAATTCCCACCTATGAGTGAGAACATACAGTGTTTGGTTTTTTGTCCTTGCGATAGTTTGCTGAGAATGATGGTTTCCAGCTCCATCCATGTCCCTACAAAGGACATGAACTCATTATTTGTTATGGCTGCATAGTATTCCATGGTGTATATGTGCCACATTTCCTTAATCCAGTCTATCATTGTTGGATATTTGTGTTGCTTCCAAGTCTTTGCTATTGTGAATAGTGCTGCAATAAACATACGTGTGCATGTGTCTTTATAGCAGCATGGTTTATAATCCTTTGGGTATACACCCAGTAATGGGATTGCTGGGTCAAATGGTATTTCTAGTTATGTTTTAACCACTTTGTGAATTACACTTCTTTAAATTCCTTGATAATTATTCCCTATTTCACAAGGATGCCTTTCTGTAACATCTTGAAAATGTTACACAAATAGTCTTTCTTGAGGCACCCTCTAGTGATAATACTAAAGATCACAATCAAAAATGATTGTGCCCGGAGTAGCAGTACCACTTGAAACTTTGGGTTTAGGTTGTGATCTACCAAAAAATAAATTAAACTCATTAATATTTCTATTTAGGAAAATTCTGACAAGCAATTTTATAACAAGATCACATTATTAATTATAAAGCTTCGAAAGTACTTAGTGACAAAAACTAACAGATCAGGTTAACTACATGAGACTTTTCAGGGGAAAAAAGCCATACAAAAGCAAAAAAAAAAAAAGAGAGAGAAAGAAATGGGACAGAAACTATCCTTGACTAACATTTTAAAGGTAAGATTATTTACTAACATTATTTTCTGAAATTACATTATTAGATTAGCATTCACTTCCTACTAATCTCCTGAAGCCATCTCACTAAAAATTATGCTTTCAAAACAAATTAATGAGCTTAATTCATTTTCTATGAGTGTATGTTTTGACTTACTTTGTTAATTTTTTTGACATGGAATTGTTAGCTTTCAATGCTGCTGCAAAGGCTTCCTTATATTCTTCTAATTCGGTTGTAACCTCTTCATAAGCAGTTTTCATTTCTGAGAATTTACATTCCACATCTTTAAGTGTGAGTTCCTTTTTATTTAGTGAAGCCATATTATCCTTGCTTAACTGCTCTAATTGTTTTTCATATTGTGCTTGTTCCTAAAACAAAGGAAAAGAATACACTTTTAAAACAATTATAACCTAATTATTATATGTTTGTTGCCTTTCATTTTGAGTCAGTGATTCAAAGAGCAATTGTGAATATGTTAGTAAAAGAGGCTGAAGCTTAAAATATTTATCAGCAAGATCAAAACTAATAACTGAATTCAGAATTGTCGATTTATAAAAATTTGAAATCATAATTATGTTAGTATTAATGTAATCTGGTCATATAAAAAGTAATAGAATCCATTCATAATTTTAAAAAGTGATTAATGAACAATGTAGCTTAAGACCAATTCAAAAGTATCACATAATTTTGAAATCACAATTGTTTCTTATGCCAACTGATCTTAATCATCAAATGACTCCACAGTGAGAATCATTACTCTGAAAGATTGATTTTGTTATAATAATAATGGAAATGTAAATATTTAAAAGAAAAAACAGATGCCATTTTTTTTTCTAGAACTCTACAAAGCAAATTGCTACAAGAGAGGCAGAGGAAACATAATATATACATATCCAAAATATAATCTGCGGTGAAATAAATGAAAGCACATTACAGATAAACTTACCTGATTTAAAAAACTAACCTGTAAATGGATTTCTTCTAATTTTTCTACTGCCTGCATTGCCTTTTCATCTAGCTCCAATTTATATTCTTGTAGTTTACTAAGTTCTACCCTATTGTTTTCCATATGTGTCTTAAGATTTAATATTTCTTCTTTCAACATCTTTTTATCCTCCTCAAGTTTCTCACATTGCTGTTGTACTTTTTTCATAGATAAAAACTCCTGTTGAAGAACTTGATTGTCTTTAGCCAAATTGACACATTTTGAAGATAAAGCTTCCTTCTCTGCCGTAAGATCATCAAACTGCATGAATAAAATAATATAGCTTGATAATGAAGTAGGCTGAGAATAATCTAATACAAAACCAATAGCAAATTTTGAAATACATTTACTTGCAATAAAATGTTATCTGTAATGCAGTGGATTCTTCAAATGTGAACCCTTAAATTACTCAGAATTTTAAGAACAAAGTTAAAGCTACCATGAGTCACAAAAATATATTATTTGCTATCATCATCTTTGCCACAGAACTTTTGCACTTCATCTTACTTTTATTTTTCTGATAATTCATTTTTGTTCCTCCTTAGATGGCACTAAGTTATCTCTTAGTAAAAAGTGTCTAACCACCTTCCCTCATTATCATTCCCCATAATATGTCAAAAAAAAGTTTCAGAGATATCATATTGAGTTATTTAGGCCAAAGTCAATAAATGGCTCTCAGAATAAGACTTTGAAAATAATATAACACTCTATACTAGGCATGGTGGCTCATTCCTGTAATTGTAGCAATTTAAAAGCCTGTGCCAGAATGATCACTTGAGGCCAGAATTTGAGATCAGCCAGAGCAACATAGTGAGACCCCCATGTCTACAAACTTTTTTTTTAAAATTAGCTGGGCATGGTGGCTCATGCCTCTAGACCCAGCTAGTTGGGAGACTGAGGCAAAAGGATGGCTTGTACCCAGAGTTCAGGGCTGCAGTGAATTATGACCACATCACCGCACTTCTGCCTGGATGACAGACAAAGACCATATCTCAAAAAAACACAAAATAATGAATCCTGTAAATAAGGATTCTGATGCCATAAGCCTTTCCTTAAACTGCAAATGTTTCATGCTAATTTGAATTGCATTTTACGAAGTAATGATTCTTGGGGTAAAGGCCATAGAATACACACCCAGAAATAAATCCACATATTTACAGCCAACTGATTTTGGACAAAGGTGCCAAGAACATACACTGGGGAAAGGACAGTCTCTTCAAATGAATGGCACTGGGAAAACTAAATATCCATATGGAGAAGAATGATACTAGCTTCCTATGTAACAGCACATAATGAAATAAACTCAGAATTGATTGAAGACTGACATTTAAGGCCTAAAATTATGAAACCACTCTAAGTAAATGGAGGAAAAATGCTTGAGGACATTAGTCTGCACAAAGATTTTTATGGGTAAGACATCAGAAGCATAGGCAAAAACCAAATGATAGACAAATGGTATTACATTAAGATAAAGAGCTTCTGCCCAGCAAACTGAGTGAAGAGAAAACCAGTGGAATGGGAGAAAATATTGTCAACTATTCATCTAATAAGGGACTAGTATCCAAAATATACAAGAAACTCAAAAAACTTGACAGTAAAAAAAAATCTGGGTTCAAAATTGGGCAAAATATCTAACTATACTTTTCTTTAGAAAAAAGAAATACAAATAGCCAATAAATAAATTTAAAAACGCTCAGTATCACTAATCCTCAGGGAAATAAAAATCAAATCTTCAATGTGATACAATCTTGCTTCAATTTGAATAAATTGCTATCATTGAAAAGACAAAAAAATAACATATGCTGGTGAGGTTCCAGAGAACAGTAAACTCTAACATGCTGTTGGTGGGAAGGTAAATTAGTGCAGCCACTATAGAAAACAACATGAGGTTTTCTCAAAAAGCTAATTATGGGACTGCCAAGGGATCCGGCAAACCCACTATTGGGTATTCAGGCAATAGAAAAGAAAACAATAGATCAAAAAGATACCTGTACTCGTATGTTTATTGTAGCACTATTCACAATAGCTGATGTATGGAATCAACCTGCATGTCCATAACCAAATGAATGGACAAAAAACTGTGGCACACAAACACAGTAGAATACTATTCACCGTATAAAGGAATTCAATCCTGTTATTCGTGGCCATGTGGATCAGTCTGAGGGATGGTATGTTAAGTGCAGACACAGAAAGATAAACACTGCACATTCTCACTCATATGTGGGAGCTAAAGAAAAACTGAGGGCTGGGCAACATGGCTATTGCCTGTAATTTCCTAGCACTTTGAAAGACCAAGGCAGGAGAATCACTTGAGGCCAAAGTTCCAGAGCACCCTGGACAACATAGGTAGATAGCTCTACAAAGTCAAAAATCAGACAGATGCAATGGTGCATGCCCATAATCCTAGCTGCTCAGGAGGGTGAGGTCAGAGGATCACATGAGCCCAAGAGTTTGAGGCTGCAGTGAGCTATGATCAAGCCACTGTCTCTAGTCTGGGTGACTACAGATGCCCAGAGCCCAGACTGGACTAGCAAGGCCCTGTCTCTTAACAACAACAAAAAAGCTCACAGAGGTAGGGGAGGGGAGGATGGTTAATGGATACCGAATTACAGTTAGATAAGAGGAATGAGTTCTGGTGTTCTGTGGCATTGTAGGGTGAATATGGTTAACTATGATTTATTGTATATTTTTAAAAAGGCAGAAGATTTTGAATGTTCACAATTCAAAAAATGAAAAATGGTTGAAGTAGTAAATGTGCTAGTTAGCTCGATCATTACACACTATATACATGTATCAAAATATCACTCTATTGGCCAAAATTATGTATATACATGTCAATTAAAACAAAAGAGAAGCTATATTTATCCCATTAAAAAAACAGAATATGGGCAATCCTTACTGACTTCCTTCTAATGAATAGAATGCAGTAAAAGGGATATCATGTGGCTTCCCTATCTCAGACTGCTTTCCCTTTGAACTCAGCCCCCAGATTGTGAGTGAGATCAGGCCAGAGAGACAGCCTGGGAGTGTCAGTGTCAATATGCATGCTGCCTGCTCCAACCAAGGTTCCAGCCAATGGCCAGCATCAACCATCAAACACATGGGTGAGCAAAGCTTCAGAGGATTCCATTTCCCCAACTGATCAGCTATTCCTAGGGAAGCTGAGGGGAGCAGAGATGACCTGTCCTGGCTAAGCTTTTTTCAAACCATAGGTTCATGAACAAAATAAATGTTTTTCTTTTAAGCCACAAAACCCTGGATAATTGTTAGAAAAATAAGTTTTAAAAAGAGACAACAGGAAACATAACTTATGCAGAGAAAAGAGTCTCCTTTAAAGTAGGATCTAATAAATGCTGAGATTAATTTATTGATGGCAAACATTATTGAGAAGCAGTAGATAACCAGGAGAGAGACATAAGCTGCTGAGGAGGAACATTTCCTAAAACCCCCTTCAATTATGAACTCTGATAACAAGGCAAGGGTGTCTCCTTACAATTTCCCCTCAAGTTAGGAAATAAGACTGCAAAGAAAGAAGAAGTATGATTTGAAAAACAACTAGAAATACTTGGTTAGATAACCAAAATCAGACATTTGCCTGATTTCAGTTAATGAAAATTCTAAAAGAATAAGCTTTGAGTATTTATTAATCAATCTAGTATTCAATTTTCATTTTCCTTTTCTCAATGAGGAAATAAGGAGAACTTTATGAAGTGATTTTTAGTCTTCACAGAAGTAAAATAAACATAGAGTGCTTTGAGTGTTAAGACATCAAATGCAATTTCTCCTTTATCTTACTTCAAGCTTGTTTGTATGGAGAAGTTAAGACCATCCCATCTCTGTATTATACCACAATGCTTCTCTACAGCACACAACTTGGCTCCGAAATTTCAAAAGTCAAAATACTAATCTACTATTTGTCTCTGATAAATTGCCTGAACATTACCTGATTTTGAAGTGCTGCACTCCTAAGACTTTTTCTTGGAATGAGTTAAACTTTATATCCCAAGAATCCTCTACTGAGCTAGAAAGCAGAGCTGTGCATCTCTGTTTCAGTAAAAGGAGGTCAATACAGGGAACTGTGGTTTCTGAGAATGCAAGATCTGCACCAAGTAAAGGATTAGATGCAGAGCTACCCAAGAGAACCAGCTACCAGGTGGAAAGAGGATCTGCGAACTACAACATGATGACTTCACATGATTTCCACTGAGGAAAGCTGGCAGCTCAGACTTCTCCTTCCTGGATGGTAAACATCTATGGAAGATTCTATGAATTATAATGAGTTAGCAAAACATAATACACTAAATATTAGACTACATCAGCAGATCCTGTGATGAAAACTTACTGAAAATATAACTATAGAGGGAGGCAATGGAAAAGAGACTAAAGGTTTGAATAGAGAAAAAAAGAAAGAGTGTCTTGTAAGCCTGACTTGCCATCATGTCTTAGAGTAAGTAAGGTATAAGCTGGCCAGAGATTCCTTTGAGGCACAAAAGGTGAAGTTAAAGATATTCCACTAAATTTAATTTTTATTATGATATAAGACAACTGGTAATATGCAACATGCTTGAAAAAATCTTCTCATTAAATTCAATTTGGCCTTGGCATAAGAATAGATATAAACAAACTAAGAATTGATAATCTACAAATAAACCTGCACATTTACAGTCAATTGATTTTATACAAGGTTAACAAAAGAACAGAATGGGAAAAGAATAGTCTTTTCAACAAATGGTGCTGCAACAACTGGATATCCACATGCAAAAAATAAATAAAGTACGAAGAAAACCCTGGCATAAATCTTTGTGACTGCATTTGGCAGTGTTTTCTTAGCTATGACTCCAAAGGAAAAATGGATTCAATGAACTTCAAAATTGAAAACTGCTGTGCTTGAGAAGACAGTATCAAGAAGTGAAAAGGTAAGATACTGAGTAGAAGAAAGTATTTGAAAAGCAAGTATCTGATAAGGGACTTACATATGTAGGATATATAAAGAACCTTTGCAATTCATAAATAACAAGATAACCCAATTTAAAAAATGGGCAAAGATTTTGAATAGATATATTTGCAAAGAAGATATAAAGATGGATAATAAGCACATTAATAGATGCTTAATGTAATTAGTCATTAGGAAAAAGTAAATCAAAACCACGTGTGGTATCACTTCACACCACAGGATGAAACCTTTATTCAATAAAAAAGAGAAAATAAGTGTTAGGAAAAATGTAAAGAAATTAAAGCCCTTATCCAATGCTGCTGGGGATGTAAAGTGGTGCAGCCACTTTGGAAAACAAACTGGCAGCTCCTCAAAAGGTTAAGCATGAAGTTACCATATGACCCAGAAATTCCAGTCATGAGTATATACTCCAGAAAATCAAAAACATATGCAAGCACAAAAACTCATACATAAATGTTTACAGCAGCATTATTAATAAGAGTGAAAAGTGGAAAGAACCAAAATGTCCATCACCTTTGGGTGGGAAAGAACCCAAAGGTCCATCACCTGGTGAATGGATAAATAAACTGTTTGATGTATCCATACAATGGAATATCACTCAGCAATAAGAAGAAACTAAGTACTGATACTGTATTAGGAGGAGACAGCAAAATGCCTAGGCAGATAAGGAAGGGTCCCCGGAGAATCCCCAACAAGCCTCACAAGTGTTTACACCAGACGTTATGTGCAGATAAGGGAACCTGGACTTGTCTTGCCTGGACATGCCGGCAGCAGACCCGAGGCCCACAAGCACTGGGGGGATGGGGTGGAGTCACCAGGAATTCACGCCTTATGCAGAGCAGGAGCCTGGCCGCTTCAGCTCCTGTGCTCCTGGTATTCAATTGTGAGGTGGAAACCTGTTTGCAGGACGCCCCTCTTTGCCGAGAGCTTTCCTTTCACTTAATAAATTCTGTCCTCCTCACCCTTCAATGTGTCTGTGTGCTTAATTTTTCCTGGTCATGAGAGAAGAACCCAGATTGAGCTGAACTAAGGAGCAAAAACCCTGCATCAATACCTGCTGCAGCACAGATGCAGCATGGAAAATTATGCTAAGTGAAATAAGCCAGTCACAGTAGACCACTTGCTTTTCATTTCAGAGGCTTATAGGCAAATCTATACAAAGAAGGTGGGTGGTTACCTAGGGCTGAGGGAGGAAGGGAAAACTAGTGAAGATAGCTAAATGATGTGGGGTTTGTTTTTAGGGTGATGAAAATGTTCTACAATTGATTGTAATGATGACTGCATAACTCTCTGAAAATACTGAAGTTAATAAATTGTATATTTTAAATGAGTGAATTGCATGGTGTGTTCATTATTTCTCAATAAACCTGTTACCCCCCACCCCAAATTAATTTGGTACTAGTGATTTTGGTAGTAGTGATCTGGAGACAGGTACTGCTTGGTTTCAGATCACTGGCCAGGGTTCAAGGCCTAAGAGAATCAACAGCATGTCCTTTTCATAGAAAAAGAGATTGATATTTTAAAAGCTATCCTTTTCATTAGTTTCAAGTCTGTAAAATTAAATGAAAAATCTTTCACTGCTTAAAGCACTGACAGATTTATATTGAGGAATAAGACCTTGTTTTCCTTGGCCCCAATTTCTATCTAAAGGGTCTGGGAATCACACCCTTCAAACTATCAAATCTCATCAGATGGGTTTTATTAACTCTTATAATGTGGCTTCCTTTCTAACCTGATTCTGGTGCAGCATCACAGAGAGAAGAAGCTGAAGGAAATCAAAATATTTTACCCCCAAATATATTTTTTGTCATATTTTGAAATGGCTGCTGCAGGGCCAAGAGATTGAAATGGTCCTCATTAATGTAGCCCAATCTCTCCCCTTCTAGGTCTTCCCAGATCTGGGGAAGATTAACTAAGAGCCTGAGGCATTTAAAGTCTGAAAAGATATATTTACCCTCTATTTTCTCAACATATTTTGGCAGAATTTGGGTTTTTCCATTATCAATATTTTCCAAAATTACATGATTTTTAATACCAAAACTGATTTAAAATTACCATACGTTGGAATATAAATTATTCTATTATAAAGATACATGCATTTGTATGTTCATTGCAGCACTATTCACAACAGTAAAGCCATGGAATCAACCCAGATGTCCATCAGTGATAGACGGGATAAAGAAAATGTGGTACATATACACCATGGAATACTATGGAGCCATAAAAATGAATGAGATCATGCTTTTTGCAGGGATATGGATGAGCTCAAAGCTGATATCTTCAGCAAACTAATGCAGGAAGAAAAAAACAAACACTGCATCTTCTCACTTAGAAGTGGGAGCTGAATGATGAGAACACATGGACTCGGGGAGGGGAACAACAAACACTGGGGCCTGTTAGGATCAGGAGGGAGAGCATCAAGATCAATAGCTAATGCCTGCAGGGCTTAATATCTAGGTGATGGATTGATAGGTGCAGCAAACCAACATGACACACGTTTACCTATATAACAAACCTGCACGTCTCACACATGTAATCTAGACCTTAAGATAAAATAATTTTTTTAAATTACCTTCTGTTTTAGCTTCTTAATCAGAATATCCATTTTCAGTTGATCTGTTTTTAAGTCTCCATGGCAATCAAAGTCTTCATTTCCAAATACATTTAACATATTTATTGTCATTTCCAGGAGTTTCTTATATCTGCAGAAATGTACAGAATTAGTAAGTCAAGTATTTTTAAGAGTAAATATTTAATAATTGTTTAAACATCTGTTATGGCATATCAAAGAAACAAATCTATAAACTATGTTACTTTCAGTTTCAACTGAACATAGTTTGAAAGCATTCTATATGAAATTATAATCTTAGATAAATAATATGAAGAACAATTTTATGGCATATATGGCAGGTAAAGTGATATTATAGCCATACAGTGTTTTTGTTTTGTTTTTTGTTTTGTTTTGAGATGGAATTTCACTCTTGTTGCCCAGGCCAAAGTGCAATGGTGTGGTCTCAGCTCACTGCAACCTCTGCCTCCTGGACTCAAGTGATTCACCTGTCTCAGCCTCCCAAGTGGCTGGGATTACAGGTGTGTACCACCACGCCTGGCTCATTTTGTATTTTTAGTAGAGACGGGGTTTCACTGGTCAGACTGGTCTTGAACTCTTGACCTCAAATGATCCACCCACATTGGCCTCCCAAAGTGCTGGGATTACAGGTGTGAGCCACCACACCTGGCCTAACCATACACTTTTTGTAAATAAACTACTGATATCCATGTTGGTATGCTAAGTAAAATAACGTATTACTAAATATAAGCCATAACCCAGAGATGAGTAACCAAGATAAAAAAGTAAAACACATACATTTAAAAAGACACAAAAGTACATTTTGATACCCACTGACCACAGTCTATCAGAAGAAAAAAAAGTACACACAAAAAGCATCAAGGAGATCATTCAATGTAGAAAAAGAGAAGAAAACATCTTTAATATCTGAGTTGAGGAGAAAAAGGATACAGGCAGTTTTAGAAAAAAGGAAAGGGGCAGAGAGATGTGTGACGATTTAAAGACTTTGAAGAAGAGATCTAGACATCTTTGCTGACATAATGTCAACAAAATTAAAGAGATACAAAACCATGTAGAGAAAAGCAATGACAGAAAAATGTTGATTCTAATCAGAAAACCAAATTAAGTGCTCAGTAAATAAATAGAAAAGTAGCTGTGTTCAGGGCTTCAAAGACAGATTCCATTGTTTTAAAAAAAATCTGTGATCAAAACATGAATGTTCATTTTACTTTTTCTTTAAGTTATACATATATTTTTATATATATGAAATTTATTTATGTAAAACAAGTTTAATAACATGTATACTTCATGTATACAACAGAGGTACTCATGTACAATGAGTAAATTTCCACGTTTTATATCTAAAAGAAAAAGCAGAAACAAAATATAAGCTACATATCAAGATAAATTTGATGTTAAAGAATGACACAAACAGGTCTTCTTTAAACAATTTGAATGCAGCAGAGGATACTACAAAAGGAAGAAAAAATGACCACAGACAGCAAAAAATATCTTCAGAAATAAAAATTCAAACCAGATAATGAAGAGTGCACTGGACATTATATGTCCAAGGCGTGGTCATTGTTTTCAAAATCATTAAAGAATAAGTGGCTGGGCATGGTGGCTCATGTCACTTTGGGAGGCCGAGGCGGGCAGATCACGAGGTCAGGAATTCGAGACCAGCCTGACCAACTTGGCAAAACCCCGTCTCTAATAAAAATACAAAAATTAGCCGGGTGTGGTGGCACATGCCTGTAATGCCAGCTACTCAGGAGGCTGAGGCAGGAAAATTGCTTGGAGGCATAGGTTGCAGTGAGCCAAGACCGCGCCATTGTACTCCAGTCTGGGAAACAAAGCCAGACTTTTTCTCAAAAAAAAAAAAAAAAAAAAAAAAGAATATTTTGGCATTCAAAAAAAATTTCACCTTGCCCCAGCAGCTCAGCTGACTCCCACCCCCATGACACACGTCTAAAAAGTTGTGCTGTGAGTTTCTGAAATACATTTTAAAATAGAATTCATTTAATTATGAAAATGCAAACATAAAATGAATTTGTATCTAGGTTTTAGTCAAGTAAAATTAGAGTTAAATCAATTAATAAATGGCTAACATGTTCTACAATATGAAAACCATACCCAGTTGCCTCTTCTTCTAATTCATCATTTTTCTTTCTTATTCGATTCACATTATACTTCAGTGATGATATTAACTCAAAAAGTTTTCTTAATTCTTCATTTTCTTTTTTAGGCTTAAAAAAAGTGTTTAAAATTATTTTTGTAAAATCTGGAGACCCTCTTTTATCTCAAAAATATTATTTCTCATAAGTGGATTAGTAATACGTATTTATGCAGGTGTATAAAGTGCATTTTATAAACCTGATGCCAATAAGGTCAGATTTCAATAATAGTCACTTTTCTTAAAACTGCTAAAAATGATTCAAATTTTCATCATTATCTTTTCTGAAATTTAAACTGCCAACAATGTTTGTTACAAATGAGGGTTTTTACACACAAAATACTAAGGGTTAGTTAAAAAAAAAAGAGTAGTTATATTTACATTTTAGTTTTTAAAGATGCTCTAGAAATATTGTTTTTAACAGTTTAAGATATTCCAAGTTCTCTTAAATTACATCTTACTAAGACAAATTTTAGAAAACTCTTATCTAGTTCCCATTACATTTTTCATCCTCATCTGTCTTCAGGCTGAGCTAAATACTGTCATTCTAAGTATTCACCCACAGGTTTCAGTTTTTCCCTTTCTCTTAACCATTTCTCTTTAAATAAAGTTTATTTTTTCTACAATAAACAAAAACAACTTTCGTCTACTTTTTGTGGCTTTTCTATTATCCTGTTTCTCCCCTTCCATTGGACTCTATGACACATGGTTTCATTCAGAAATCTTTTTTCATCAATTATTGTGTTTTTTATACTGAAATCTGATTTTTAATAATTCCAATAAAAAAGTCCAACGGTCATGAAGGACTTTATCCTGCTTTACTCAGCAGAGCAGTGACCAAATGCTCCCTCTGCTCCTCTGACCCCACTTCCTTTCTAAATGCAGTGACCTCTGTTCTTCAGCCCTATCCCTTTCTATTCCTCTGACCCCACTTCATTTCTAAATTTAGCAACCTCTGTTCTTCAGCCCTATCCTTTTCTGGTTTTTTGTTTTGTTTTTGTTTTTTGTTTTGAGATGGAGTCTCCCACTGTCACCCAGGTTGGAGTGCAGTGGCATGATCTCGGCTCACCGCAACCTCCACCTCCTGGATTCAAGCGATTCTCCTGCCTCAGCCTCCCAAGTAGCTAGGATTACAGGCATGTGCTACCACACCCAGCTAATTTTTTGTATTCTTAGTAGAGACGGGGTTTCACTATGTTGGTCAGACTGGTCTTGAACTCCTGACCTCATGATCTGCCTGCCTTGGCCTCCCAAAGTGCTGGGATTACGGGTGTGGCCACCACGCCCGGCGGCTATTTCGCTTTTTAAATTCTCTCAGGACTCCTAAAATCTCAAAACTTTGACCTAGATTCCCTAATCTACATTTCCAGCTCTGACCTTTTTCTTGAGGTCTCTTCCTTCTAGTACACATATTATAGACAATATTCTCCACCACATGCTCATACATTGCTACTTGGTGCAGATTACTTTTGTAGATAGTGAATCTTGTCTATTTTATGTTGGTTCTTATTGATGTTACTTTGAGTATACTGTTATTTTCTAATCTCAAAGGGGGACTATCTCACTGTTACGATACTAACCAGTATACTTTGTCCTTTTTTTCATTCTTTCTTCTTTTTTGGACCAATATACTTTGTCCTTTTCTTTTTTTGAGATGGAGTCACACTGTGTCATCCAGGCTGGAGTGCAGTGGTGCCATCTCAGCTTACTGCAACTTCTACCTCCTGGGTTCAAGTGATTCTCCTGCCTCTGCCTGGCAAGTAGCTGGGACTACAGGTGCACACCACCACGCCTGGCTAATTTTTGTATTTTCAGTAGAGACAGGGTTTCACCATGTTGGCCAGGCTGTTTTTGAACTCCTGACCTCAGGTAATCCACCCCTCTCAGCCTCCCAAAGTGTTGGGATTACAGATGTGAGCCATGGAACCCAGCCCTCTTTTTCTTTGATAATGAAAACTTTCCCATGAGAATCAGATTATCAATTGTTTGCCTTTGTTTTCTTTTAAATAATTTCCTTTTCCATAGAGATATGGCATGATGAACATCTTGTTCTAAAGTTCTTTTTGGGGGACACTCAACTATGTCATCGGGAAGCTTCAGTAAGTAGAGATCTCCCTTCTTCCCATTCAAGATTCTTCATCTCAAAATGGTGTCTACCAAATGTCTTAATCCAGGTAGTCCCTTGCTTAGAAATTCATGAAATAAGAACCTTCTGGAGAAGTTAGAGGCTATTGATTGAGATGGTTTAAAGCTGCCCCTTATTATGTGTTTTACTCCCAAGGCAGACATCAAAGCGGCTAATAATTCTATGCCTGATGTCTAACTCACTTCTATGGGAATCTATACAACATGTTTTATTTATGAGACAGAGTCTCCCTCTGCTACCTAGGCTGGAGTGCAGTGGCTTGATCACTGCTCACTGCAGCCTCAATATTCCAAGCTCAAACAACCCTCCTACCACAGCCTCCCAATGTAGCTGGGACTACAGGCATGCACCACCATGCCTCAGCTAAGTGTTTAAAAAAATTTTTTTTTTTTTTTAGAGACAGAGTCTCACTATATTGCTCTGGCTGGTCTCAAACTCCTGGGCTCAAGCAATCCTCCTGCCTCAGCCTTCCAAAACCAGGTGTTTAACTGGGGACTAACATGAAGCACTTAGAAGACTACATGGAACATAGTGAGCTACATAAAATATTTGCTATTAGCATAATAATTTTATTGTATATCTTAACAAAATTGTGTATTTACGCAGGTGGCATGCCAATGGAAGTAGTCTCCTATAGCTGCACTGAATCATTCTTAACACTGAGAGTTGCAGCAAATGGGGGACATAATTTATAACTTACTTTTCTCTCTGTATGACTCATTAGGCAATGACTGTGTATGTACTACAATGTAAATAGCACCTCCTGGATGGAATAGTACGTAACTGACATGACCAGCAGAGACAGGCTAAAGACACTGAGCTGAAAACCCTGGACTCTATTGCTAAGTCAAGGCTCCTGAATCCGTTCCCTCTGAGCAACTGTTGCTGTGGTGCTGCCTTCACAAGCACTCTGCTGAGCACTCAGATTGAGGGGCTGTGCTATCCTTCATCAGACAAGCTGCACCCAGAACTGTTCAGCTGACAGACTGGGAGCAGTCCAGAAACACAGTAATGGCTGCATAGTGAAAAAAGGCCAATTTATATTCTTTTTCATAGAGAGAAAAACATAAACACGTGATTGAACGCATCTCCTGTGTTAGACTAATTGGGTTAGATTTGATATTTAATTGCTAAAAATATATTTAGAATATAACCTTACTGTGTCAAGGTCTCAAAGAAGAAATAATTGGTATGGTATAAATGATTGAATTGTATGCTACAAACTTCTAAGCTAAAATATTTTCAATGTATGCAAGGATAGGTGGCATACACATTATATATTATTCCCCCATTAAGCAAATTTATAATGAGAGAAAATTATCTTCCATAAAAAAATAAAAGCCATGTAAAATTAAGGACTAAGTTTTTCAGCACAGACTAGACAACGATTGCTAACACATAAGGTCAATGACAGAACAGTCAGAGAAAGCTTCATGAAAACAAAAAAATTGTCTGCCAGGTCTGAATGAATGAGGCTAGATGAACAGAAACTGAGAAGGCAGAAAGAATAGCATGAGCAAGACAAGTGCTGAAATCTGCCCAATTAACTCTGAGGATAAAGTCCAATGGCAGGGAAATAAAAACCCGTGTCCACATAATAACCTGTAAGTGAATGTTCACAGCAGCATTTTTCATAATAGCTAAAAAGTGGAAACTAACCTAAAGGTCCATCAACTGATGAACGAATGGAAAACCAGTATAGCCATGGAATAGAATATCATTTAACTATAAGAAGAAATAAACTACGAATGTGTGCTAAAACATGCATGAATTCTGAAAACATTATGCTAAGTGAAAAAGCCAGTCACAAAGGACTACATATTGTATAACTCTATGTATATGAAATATGCAGAACAGGCAAACATATGGAGACAAAAGTAGACGGTGGTTGCCTACAACAGGGGTAGGTGGAGGGACATGGAGGAAGGCTGCAGTCATGCCTAGGAGATGTGGGGTCACTTTTCAGGGTGACGAAAATGCTGTGAACATACTAATAGACACTGAGTTGTACATTTTAAATGGTTGAACTGTCTGATATGTGAATGACATCTCAGTGAATCTTTTTAAAATCCAAAGGCAGGATCAAGATAATTTTCTCAACTCTTAATTTTTGATGTACATGCTATATCAAATCTAAATATTTCTACAGTTTTACAGTATATTTTAAATAAAAGATAAAGAAAATGCCTAACTTTTCAAATAGTTTGTAAATTAACCTAAAACATGCACATTTCAAAGAATAGTATAATGGCCTTTCTGTACAAGTTAACCTAGAATCTGTGAAACAAATAGACACAGATTCTGTGTCCATTCACAAAAGTGAAGAAATAAGACAATTTTCTGGAACATTCCATGAAACATTCTCCTCTGATTTAATCTGGCTTGCCTCATCAGAGCAATACACAAATTACTTAAAAATACTGTTTAACAGGAAAAAAGTCAATTTTCTATGAGGAATGATGTATAATTCTCAACTTTTCCAAGGGTACATATTGTAAGAGAAAAGGTATGCAATGGTTTTTCAAAATGGTATAATGAAAGTCACAATATAAAAAAAAGTACATTATAAAGATAGTAAAATGGAAATCATTCATTATAATGAAAATAAAAAATCAAGCTTCTGCCAAAATTAGTATCCTAAAACACGTTATATAATTCAACTAGCTACAGAATAACTGTTGACATGTTAAATTCCATACATACTTGACTTTTCACTTGAAATAATTTCTTATTTGAGGCCTGTGTCTCATCCAAATTAATATGACAACGTGATATACCTTCCAGTGGAGACTCTAACGTCGTTAATTTTTTTACGCTGTCAGCCACTTCTTGTTGAAGTTGTCTCACAACCACCTGATAAAATATTTGTTACTGATTTTATAAACTGCCTTATTAAATTATGTTAATAATGTTTAATTCCAACATATCTACTTTGAAAATTATCACCACACATATCAATTCACCTTCTTTTAATCACATGTACACATTTTTATTTATTACTGAATTCAGTGAGGGATGCAGAATATGTTCTCTTCCTGCCAAATTGGTATTCTCTTACTTACACAACAGATTCATTCCAACATTCAATCATCTCAGAAGCTCAACTCAGCCTCAAAGTTCCTAACATATTCAATCACCTGTTCAAATCCTTCCAACAGATTCCTATCTCAGAATAAAAGTAAAATTCCAATGGCCTTTGAGGCCCTAGGTAAAAAGGCCTCTACCTCCCTCTCTGACTTCAAAGCTCCTACAACTCCCTCCTGTAATTACTCCATTCCCACTGTATGTGAAGCCTGCCACCCCTCAGTCTGAAAATGGAGATGTAGTGCCTAACTCGTAAATCACAGACAGCTACAAGTATCTTTGTACTGAACAAAATTATATTCCAATGACAGTCATTGAGCCTTGCAATAAAAATTATGAGCTAATTATTAATATAAATATTCAAAGTAAACTATAAATACCAGTGGGAAAACTAAACCAAATATAGTTTTGCTAAGTTTTACCACATTTATCCTAAATTATGATTTTATAACAAGTAGGTGCCTTTAAAACATTACATGGTCATAAAAACACGTAATTTGACATATTTTCAGATTTGTTAATATGAATAATAACAAAGCTATACCAACTAAAATACATAAAAAGCTAGTTAAAGCAAGGTATTACAAGACACAGCAATACACTTCAATTCATCTGGGGAATCTAGAATTAAGTGTCGAAGAAAATCACTTAATTAAATTTTAATTTGAAAATACTCACTTCAGGTGTAAACATTTCCATTTATAACTACATTATGGTCTTAACATGTGGCAACATAAAGACATTAAAATTACTATTTCAGCAATACAGAACTATCTACCTTAAAATATGACTCTGTGCCTAATAAAATTTCATAGGTGACACAATGTCTTTTCTCAAAGTAAATCATCTCTCACCTCTATCTTTTATTTCCTAGAAATGAGGCATGTTTCTAAGCCGATATAGTAAACACATTTTTCCTTTTTTTATTAAAACAGCTTTGTTGAAATATAATTTACATACTATAGAATGTATCTGTTTTAAGTTAAAAGATTTTTAGTACATTTACTGAGTTGTGCAGCCATCTCTACAATCCAACTTTAGAGCATTTCCATCACTGTAAGATTCCTCATGCCCATTAGCAGTCACTACCAGCTTCCAGCCCCAGCCCCTTGCAAACATGAATCTACTTTTTGTCCCTATACATTTATCTTTTCTGGATGCTTCATGTAAATGGAATTATACAGTATGGTAAACACACTTTTAATCTAGATTTTTATATTCAACTAAGTTCAACATGTATCCAGAACCAAATGTTTAAATTGTCTTTCTAGAAGTTTGAAAATATTTATCTTCCTTGATACTTACTACTCCTTCTGTTTTCTCTCTCTCATACTGAAAGAGACTTTCTTTTAAATGATCACATTCATTCATTAGCTTCTTACTTTTCTCTTCTAGCACGAGGTCTTTCTTTCCACTCTCAATAAAGCCTCTTTGGATATTAGTTACTATCTCTTTATGATCCTCTTTCTGATGAACGTCATCTAGTTGCTGTACAAGCCACGCATTTTCACGTTGGAGGTGACATATCCTCTCTTCTACACAGTTCCACTTTCCAGTGGAATTATTCACTTTAGCTTCTGCATTTTGATACATCTCTTTCATTTCCTGTGTTTGCTGCTGTGTTTGGCTTAGGTCGTTTTGTACAGTTTCTAAAGCCAATGACTTTTTTCTGAGACTATCTCTTGTCTTACGGAACTTATCTTTTAAGGCATTGAATTTAATTTGTGTTTCAGAAAGTTGTTCAGTAAGAAACTCATTCTCAGCTTTTACTTTGGAAATAGCAGAACTCATTTCTACTTGTACAGAAACATCTCGTGTTCTCTCTAAAGCAAGTTTTAGGTTTCTTTCTGTTTTCACACTTTCACTGTGTTTGCTTATAGCAGCAGCCAGTCTAGACTGATAAGATTCAATGTCAGCTTCCAGTCTTTTCTTGCTTTCTTTTTCCTTCAACAGTTCGGCATTGAGCCTTGTATTCTCAGCCTTGAGATCATTAAGCTCTTGTTGATACCGGAATGCTGTTTCTGTTATCATTTCCTCATTGAGTTTTATATACTTTTCAAGGGCAGCATTTGTTTCTTTAACAATTTTAATGTCCTTAAGATATTTATTTTCTTTTTCCAAGTTGTCATTTTTCATTGTACATATTTCCTGTCTGAGTATAGCAATATCTGCCTTCAAAATGCAATTTTCATCCATCAGACCTTTCATTTCTTCATGATTATGAAAATCCTAAATAAAACAAAAGAAAATTTTAGCTAGTACTCAATAAAATATCATGATTACCTCTGAAGTTAAAGAATAACCTGCACATCCGTACCACTAAAAAGTTTACCATAAGTGGATATCCACCTGGAGAAAAAGTTGAAGCAAAACTTTGAACCTTATAGAGCATAAATTCCAGAAAGTTCAGAAATGTATTTAGAGTCAATGAATTTATAAAAGTAAACACACACACACACACACCAGAGAATTTTTAAGAATATCAGAATTGGAAAAGCCTTTCCCTGAATTACAACAAACTCAAAAGCATAAATTAAAGCATTAACAAATTTGACTAAATTAAGATATATCAAAAAATTGCATTTACACTTTGATACCTAACCCATACACCACCCTATAGTAAGAACTTTTGTTCACACATATTTGGACAGATAAAATTTCCCAGAGTTATTACAGTTCTGTTTCACTGATAACATTCTATTTCAGTTTGACTCTTTTAACACTTTTATAGTCAGTTATAAGAATTACATTCACTAAATCATAAACTAGACATTATACTAGTCACTCCTATATACATTCATTGATGAACTCATCTAGTTACCATAATTTTGAAAAAGAAATGTTAAAAATATAAGCAAGCTACAGGATTTTCCCCAGGACTTCTGACTCTACTTCTAGTTCTCCAACAGATCACAGTTACTTCTGTGGTGTAAATACATCAATACGAAAGAAAACTTTTATTTCAAAACGCCAATAGTAAATAAGATAAAATTTATAGAGCTCTTCTTAGAATATCATGAGATTATTTGCGATTGCAATAATTTCTGTTTCCTCTTTATAATATTAGGTGCAGTAATCAATATGAAATAGGGGAAAGTACAAGGAAAAATTTTACCTGGAACAAAATTTTTATCAATAGGTTATCACTAAGTATAAATTATGGCATATTATTGTTTTCAAAAGCTCTTTGTAATAAAATAATATCCTATGTGGATGCCAAGATTTATAATAAATATTAATAATTGTACCTGTAAGTGTCATCATTCATTTTTAAAAATGAGATAACATTTATGGTTTTAGACCTAAACAATATATATTAAATCAAGTGGATATTATAAGTAACAGTGATAAGATAAAGTTTAAAATATAGAATTTTTACCAAAGATTGATTTACCCAATTTGGAGTATTTCTTGCAGTCTTTGATTTCATCTCTAGTGACTGAACAGTTGGTTCAAGTTGTTTTGCTTCAACTTCTTTCTTATATTGTTTCTCTTTCCTTTCTAATTCTTCTCTATTTTTTTTGTACAGCATATTAACATTTGTTTTTTCTTCATTTTCTTGTTTTAAGGTGCATCTGCAGATAAAGACATTTGTCTTAAAATTCATTTTGTTAAAAAATAAGGAGTTCATCCTGTTACCTACCTCTGCAGATGTTGTTTATTATCCTAATAAAATTTCTATGTTCTGGATTATTTTTCCTTTGCAGTTCTCAGATATTTAATTTCTCACTTCAACATCTTCAAATGAATGCATATACTTGAAAAGTAGTAAGGAAAGAATATTCTGCTAAAGTTTTTGTTACTAGTCACTCTAATATATATTATAAAAAAGGATACCAGAGATAATTCAGTAAAGTTACAGGTTCAAAATTACCTTTTTAAATCACACAGTCATAATTACTCCCTAATTAGAAAAGATCATTTACAATCAACTAAATTTTTAAAGTTACTATTTATTGACAAGCGTATAAGTTCACTAGAAATAAATTTTCATCTTTATGAAATATTGCAGGTGTTTCTCCAAATGATTTACAGAGTGAGATGACACCTTCAGATGTCTCTCACACAAACTATATCTGCAGATGACTGTCATCCAAAACTAGGCTAAAAAGTCTAACATCTGTTTCCCCACACTTTTTATATTTCTTTCTTAATACTTTCAATTCACCTTATTACATATATTTTATATATTCATTAACCTATTGTTCATTATGTGTAATATATAATTAATGCATGTTAATTATATATTAATAAGTGTGTGTATGTTTACACCAGTTATGTTTTCCTGTGAAATCTAGTCCCAGAAGTGGAGTTGTTGAGTTAAAGGGATGTCAGGCTATTTGAAATTTTGATACACAGCACTAAGTTACCCTTCAGAAATAATTTACTAATTTCCTATACCAACAGTGTATGAGAATGCCTTTTTCCTCACATTTGCCAACACTAATAATTACTTTTTAAATATCAGCATGACTTTACAAAATATATCTTATTTTATGTTAATTTGCTTTTTTCTGATTACCAGGCAGGGCTAAATACCCCTGGTAAAAATATAAAACTTGTTAATCATAAGGAATATTAGTCCAATTTTCAATTAGTTTATAGCACAATGACAATTATCTCCTGTGAAATACTGCTATAGGCGGCCAGGCACGGTGGCTCACTCCTGTAAACCCAGCACTTTGGGAGGCCGAGGTGGGCAGAACACGTGAAGTCAGGAGTTCGAGACGAGCTTGGCTAACATGGTGAAATCCTATTTTTACTAAAAATACAAAAAATTAGCCGGGCATGGTGGCACATGCCTGTAATCCCAGCTACTAGGGAGACTGAGTCAGAAGAATCGCTTGAACCCAGGAGGCAGAGGTTGCAGTGAGCTGAGATCACACCATTGAACTCCAGCTTGGGCAACAAGAGAGAAACTCCATCTCAAAAAAACAAAAACAAACAAAAAAAACCCAAAACCAAACAAACAAAAAAAAAAACACTGCTATAGGCTTACCTATCATGCTCTTCCTTCAGCTTCTTGGGAAATTGCTGAGGATACGTTTTCCCAATCTTTCTTTGTTGGGTTAATCTGCCAGCAGCAGCAGAAGATGTACTATCACATATATTTTCTGAAAGTTGTATTTTTTCACTTTTGTTTGTATTATTTCCTTCTTTGACCTTTAATAAAAGATGAATAATAATTGTTATTATTTTATTCAATAAAAAGAACTTTTTCCCTGATTTTTTTTACTTGATTCAGGTTAACTATCACCACTTTAATGATAAAAGTATTTTGTGCTTACTTTAATTTTATCATTATACATAATTATTATAATTATAAGATACTCTTATTTTATCATCGAAATTTTTGTCAAATCTGCTCATTTCTGTTTGAGGGAATAGAAGAATTTTCCAAAATTTCAAAAAGGGCTCTTCTCCATTTTGTGCTTTTATTCCCATCCACTCTTTGCTATCTGGTATAAATTTTTATGCTATCTGGCTGGCAGAAACAGAGAAATAAAAAGACACAGGCATAATATATGTCTTCTGTCTTTACTACCTGGATTTTACATGAAATAGCCAGATTAAGAGGATGTGACCTTGTAGGCCTTCGGGAACAGTAAAGAAGTTTTCCCTTTTCTGTACTGAGCTACTCTTTTCCCCACTGCCTTTTATCTCTCTTTTTTTTTTTTTGAATCCTGTGATATCAAAAAAGTAAAGGTTCTCTTTGAATTATGGGAACCAACGTTTGCCACAACAAAAGAAGCAGAGTGAAACTGCTGAGTTTCTAGTGCAGAATTCTGGAAAATGAGATGCTTCCCAGATTTCACATTCAATTACCACAAAAGTTTATAGGTGGAAAACATATGGTACAGTTACCTACTTTAACCCCATTATCTACTGATAATGGGAGTCAAACCAACCAAGACATATTAAATGTTTCATCCAGAGCTCTTGAGGTGGCATTCACTAGCATTTCATGGCACCATATAACATGATACAATTCCATATTGCTGAATTACATAAATTACCAGATAAATTTATCAAATTAGATATATTAAAAGTCTAACTTGAGCAAAGCAATTTAATGCCTCAGAGGGTGGAAAAAGGCCTCATCTGCTTTTACTTTGAAAGAAGAAAATCTCTAGATTTTTGTCTATCTTTAGAACACAATGTACAGAACTCAACTTTCTACTAAAGAGTCAAAGGCTAAATTTTTGGCTAAGAAATTATGCTTCTTATATGATAAAAATCATACATGCCAAAACTCACCATACTTTATTAAACAACATAACGTAAGGTCTGATTCAACAGAAATATTGCAGAGTGGTGATTTTTTAAAATATGTGTAAGTATATGTTTTCAAAAATATTGGAAATAACCATGATGGGACTGTAAGTTCAAACAGTTTGAGCTAAGCAGATAAACTTGCATGCATGAAAACACATTAAACAGACTCATTTGGCTGGGAATATTCGTTGCAACTCTCAAGGCTAGACGTGTTTTTGTGGCTTGTCTCAGTCATTGCTTCCCTCCCATTGTATTCCCATTCTATCATTAAATAAATGTAAATTATCTCTAAATGAATACAAGAAAAAAGAATCTAGAATCTAGAGCTTGTTTCTTTAGCAATTTCTTTATGTTGATCTGGTTCAGAAGGTCACATGGTATGTGGCTTAATTAGTTTCCCAGCTCATACGCCACTTGGAAGACTGATAGTGAGACATAGGTTGATTAATGAACAAACATTATGAGAACATTCTCCAGAACCATTATTTAGATAGCAGAACTAATCTACTTTGACACATAATTACACATTTAGATAACCCCACTGTAACTGTACACATGACATTTTCTTGAACAGAAAATTTGACTAAATCAAATAATTGATAAAGAGGAAAAAGAAGCAGCAAGTGAACCTCTGTCTTTTTGAAGTTGGACTTGCTTTTCTCCAAAGCCAGGAACTCAACTTGTAACATGCCTACCTCATTCTTTTTTTAATTATTATTATACTTTAAGTTCTGGTACATGTGCACAACATGCAGGTTTGTTACATATCTATTCATGTGCCATGTTGGTGACCTTGGAATATCTTCCCATAAGTCTTCTAGCTATATTTTTGATGTTCTCTCACTATGTGGCAAAGAATAACTCACATTTTATAATTCAAGATTCATGCTTCTGTAGTTGTTAGCACTGGGATTGCCATATAGTGGCTGCTGGAATAAACGCTGTATTGGTTTTCTGTTTTTATAAGTATCTGTAGCAGCAGAAATACTGTGGCTTTCTATCTGAATCATATGCTTCATTTCTTTGGGGTGGGTAAACAACAAATCAAAAAGACTTTCTGGATCTCTAGACTGAGGCCAATGCCTAATGTCCAATTTCCAATTAGTGGTATCTGGGTTTACATTTTTTGCCATTTGCATGTCAAACTCTTAATCATCTTTCATTTCAATCATAATTACTGGGTTCCTTAATTTTTTGGTTTCAGTATCATTACAAAAATTTTCATCATCTGTGTTAGAAACAAGCTATGTGTCTGGTTTGCTATCATTTTTATAGTCTGATTTATTTTCATTTAAATGAAGCTTAGAAGATGACTGGTAACTGTATTTCAGGGACCTGGAGTATGAATGGAATAAAAAGACATTTGACATGGGCTTCCTCTGTTCAGGCGCTGCCTGGAATGCCACAGAGTTAGACCCTCCAGATGCATCTTCCTCCTCACAATCAGGGACCTGATTCATCAGATTAGAGGGCACTCCTTTTTTGTTCGTCCCTCTTTAGAGTTACTATGTAGGAGCTCTTCCTCAGGGCAAGCAGTAATTCTGGAGTTTTCAAAACTTTCACCAATATTCAGCTTGAACTTGTTTGTAATGAATTTTAAAGAAAGTCGTGAATATACAGACAGATTATTCCCTTTATCACAATTCTTACCCAGTTCTGGTTCTTGAGACTTTTTTTTTTTTTGGCAGGTGCAAAATGGAAAACAAATTTGCTTGTTTTGTTTCTCAGATGCCTTTTCTGTCAGAGTGCATGTTTTAAAATTAGCTTTAATCAAGTATAAACAACAATACTAGAAAATAATTAAAATTTAACTGTGAAACTTAATCTATGTGTTGCCACCCTTAAATTATGGGATTGTAACTAAAAAGTGAAAAATAATTTGCCTTGGCTTAACATAGGACAGAAATATGAACTGGCAAGCTGAACGCTTAGCATTTGTTTCGATTAAACTTAATGCATTATGTGTAAAATCTACCAGAAATGAATTCAAAGCTGATAGGTAGTATTATAAAATCTTCCTCTCTTACAAAGATTTTACCTCAGCATACCAGAAAAAGTGAGCCCCTACAGTACGTGTATATTTCTGAAGATTAACTACAGACTAGGCAAACACTGAATTATTAAGAGCCAAACTGAACACCAATAAGAAAGGGAAGCAAAATTTTAAATTCTAATTCAAATAATATACTATGATAGTGTTATGTATCTAGATGGATTATCTGCTTATATCCACTTCTAATATATTTTAAGTTCCACTAGTGATAGTGGATGGATTTTTTAAATTTTAGTAACATTTACTATGTATTTATGTCAAAATAAAGTTATTGTTTGTACCCTGACACCAAAGGTCCCATTCCACAAGGTAGGATTCTCTTAATAGGCAACTGGGTTGACTTTTATGACCCCATTCACTCCCTGAACACAGACACAGAAGTCAAATGGTGACCACAAAACAGAATAAATCTTTAACCTCGGCACTGGTGACCAGCAATATAAAACTGCAACATTTGAACCACTGGCAATGATGACTCCTTTAACACTAGTTTAACTCAGTGGCCATCATTGTTAAATTGTTCACAATTTCTATTCCTTAATAATATGACCCAATATTTCATGTTACCTTCTGTATTATGAGTAAGGTTATAACAATAAAAGAGCAAGATAATTCTGAAAATGTCTTGCCTCAATTCCAAGGGTAAAGACAGCTATGAGTTACTAGAGATAGTAAGAATTACCAGAATAACTAATAGTTACTAGAGATAGTAAGAATATCTTAAGTTTCATAACTGGTTAAGATGTTTTAAAAATTAAATATAAAATTATGATCTATCGGATTCTAAAGGTATAGTCTAAAAGGTCATGTCATTTGGACTATGCTTTGTTACTGAAGCAAAAAAACAAAACCCAATATTAAACAAGAAACTTGAATTTTCATATACCTGTGGTTGCTTCTTTTCACTTCTTTCATGCCTTTCTTGCTCTTCCTCTGAAGCCACTGGTAAGGCTTGTTCTGTTGACAAATTCATTGGTTTAGTTCAAATGAACTAAGAACAGTTAGATAAAGACTATAATCTATATAAAAATAAATAGAGAATAACATTTCTTTGTATTTTATATTTTGAGAGTTTCAATGAAGCTTAATGTTTACTGAAATATTTAGTTCTTTAAGAAATACTTCTAATCATCCAAAATTTCAACAAACCACTTGGGGAGACATTAGATATCACCAGGTTCAAGCCATATGAAATCTCAGGGTCACTCACAAATTGTTCCACCCAACATAAATCAACAAAACTGTTAGAAACAAAATAAAATTTTGAAATACAGTCAAAATATACAATGTAACACTTTACTATACTTCATAACAGTATCTTTTTAACAAGACACTAATTGAGTTGGCAGTTACTAATAATTTGCAAAATTATTGTTGTTTATACCTTAATTAGTGTGCACCCCATTTTTTACATCGCAAATGTTTTCCCCTACTATTCTGAAAAATTTATTTTCATCTTTTAAGACTCAGAAAGTAGGCTGGGCATAATAGCTCACATCTGTAATCCCAGCACTTTGGAAGGCCAAAATGGGGGAACTGCTCAAGGCCAGGAGTTTAAGACCAGCCTGGGAACCATAGATAACCTTGACTCTACAAAAAATTGGACAGGTATGTTGATATGTGCTTGTAGTCCCAGCTACTCAAGAAGCTTAGGTGAGAAGATCCCTCGAGCCCAGGAGTTTGAGGTTGCAGTGAGTCTCGATCACACCATTGCACTCCACCCTGGGTGATAGAGTAAGAACTTGTCTCCAACAACAGAAAAAGAAAAAAAAAGGCTCAGAATGCTGTGTGAAGTCTTCCTTGATTCTAGCTGTCTTTCTCCACACACACAGGTGTCTGCTTCATTGGAGTTCCTTAGTACTTTGTCAACTTTTCCAGCGTCACTTTACCACCTGAACTGCACATCATGTCTTTACATGTTGATCCCCTTTGCTGTTAGACTGTAGAGGACAATCTTTTGAATCATCTTTGTATAAACAGTCTTAATTTTGCTAAATAATTACTTATTGAGTTCCTGCTAAGTGTTAGGCACTGGGGTATAAGGAAGGAAAATAAAAGCTGTCAGGGATGGCTTTCCTAAAGATCATGCATGAGCTGAGACTTAGAGAGTAAGGTTAGCCAGATTAAGTGAGGCAGAGGGCAGGAAAGGATGAGCACATGCCAGGCAGCAACAAGAGAGGGAGAGAAGCCTCCAAGAGAGTATGTATTTCTCTGCAAAAGAGGAATGGTGAGGGGGCCATTACCAGCAGCTCAGTAATTCCAGAGAAAAAGGCAGATGGGGAAAGGGCTACAGATGGAGATTTGGGCAGAAATCAGTTTCCTTTTCTTTTCTTTTTTTGGGACAAGGTCTTACTCTGTCTCCCAGACTGGAGTGCAGTGGCATGATCTTGGCTCACTGCAACCCGGCCTCCCAGGTTCAAGTAATTCTCCTGCCTCAGCCTCCCAAGTAGCTGAGATTACAGGCATGTGCCATTACCACCTGCTAATTTTTGTATTCTATTAGAGATGGGGTTTCACCTTGTTGGCCAGGCTGGTCTTGAACTCCTGACCTCAAATGATCCACCTGCCTCAGCGTCCCAAATTGCTGGGATTATAGACACGAGCCACCATGCCCAACCCAGAAATCAGTTTCTGAAATCCTTATATAAAACTTTAAGATGCTTGGACATAGGTATTCAGGAGTGGTTCACAGATCTATTTGCATTAGAGATAATTAACTCTAATTATTGTGAGGAGCATAAAATTCTGAGGCATATAAATCAATGAACAAAGATAAAATATAAGGCAGTGTTGCAAAGATGATGCAGGCCTGAGGAGATGTTTTCAGAAATATTTAGGACATAAGTATCAGTGGCCATTGTAAGCATGAATTTTTATTGAATGAATAAATGTATATATCTGGGTCCCTGGAGAAATACACTCTGCTCATTACTTTACAAATTTTATCAAATGAGAAGTAAAATAATATACATAAACTGTTTCAGTTACTTGTATTTACTTTACACTTTTTCTGTTTCAGTTTTACTGTGCCAAGGAAATGCATTTGGGTTTTGTGGTGGTTGTTGCTGTTGCTGTTGTTGTTGTTGTTGTTGTTGTTTGAGATGGAGTTTCACTCTTGCTGCCCAGGCTGAAGTGCAGTGGTGCAATCTCAGCTCACCGCAACTGCTGCCTCCCAGGTTCAAGTGATTCTCCTGCCTCAGCCTCCCGAGTAGCTGGAATTACAGGTATGTGCCACCATGCCCAGCTAATTTTGTGTTTTTAGTAGAGATGTGTTTCTCCATGTTTGTCAGGCTGGTCTCAAACTCCCAACCTCAGGTTATCTGCCCGTCTCAGCCTCCCAAAGTGCTGGGATTACAGGCACGAGCCACCGCGCCCAGCCACATATGGGGATTTTGTTTTAAAAGTTCTGTTTCCTGGATCTACCAAGCTCATGAGAAAATAGAAGCAAACAAGTCATTTGCATAGGTAAGAAACTTTGGATTTATACTTTGTCATCACTACTCTAGAAGATTATCATCATGTTTTGTAAAATAAAATGTTAATTCTAGACATAAGGGGAAAGAGAAATTAAAACTATAGGGGTGAAAAAATATTGCATAATTTATTACTGTTGACCTGACCATATGACTGATTAAGGGCACTGAATTTAACTTGTATGTGAAGTAGACCCCATATTAGCTGCAGTTAATCAATAGACCAGGTATTCTAGCAGAATTAAATTTGATGCTCCTGTGTTATCTTTAAATGATACAGCTCTTCTGAAAACCCATACTCATAGTGCATGATTATCCATTAAGACAAGGTGATGGAATGTGTGAATACAGCTGAGGAGACACCACAAGGCAAATGCTCAATGGTTCCCATTAATATTGGGGAAATCAACATTATAATACAGAAAACCATAGGCATTATTTAATATTTGGTTTTGGAAGGTATTTTTAGTGACACTGCATACAGTTGTACCTAATAATTGCAAAATTACAGATGTAAAAATAAAACAAAGGCACATTGTGTTTGAGTAGGAAATCTGTAGATGTCTAGCTGGTTTTCTATTCCAGGCCCAAAATTCTAAATATAATCATGGTACCCGCACACAAATTTATGTTAAATACCAACTTCAATGAAATTACTCTTTCTCCTCATTCTCTTTGTTATTTATATGTTGCTTTCCTTAAGGGAAGAATACAAATGCCTTGCTAAGAAGCATTTTGTTTGGTTGTAGGCTGCATAAAGGGAGTAAACACAAAGTACATTTGACCACAAAATGACTTTTTAAAAGCCAGAACTATGGTAGCATGAAGCCAACTGAGGTAATCTAGAATAAAATTTTCTATGTTTGTTTCCCTTCTTTGCTCTCTTTCTACTCTAATAACTGCGATTCACAGAGGTAATGAAGAGTATAATTCCCTGATAAAAACACAGCTCCAAGATTAATCCTTTCTTTAACTATGAAGTTCGTGTGTCCAAAGTCTTGTAGTTGCTGATTTTTGATCACGAATGGTGATACAGATATTTATCATCAACTCACAACTTCCCAAATCTTTGAAAAGTCTTACTATTGATGGTTCAACTAGTAGAAACATAATCTAAAATATCTGAAAATAAAGTTTTTATTAGAATGTAAATAGTAATACAAATTGTAATAAGGTGTAAAAGTTCTTTCTTCACTGAAGCAGGACCATGATGTCCTCTACCCCACAAACACACTACTCCCTCATGGTCTAATGTATCTTAAAAGTCCTGTAATTGCTATTAACTCAGACAAGTTTACTTAACTTGTTCTAAGCTTCTGTTATTTACTACAATTTACTTTATCACTCAACAATCTCTATTATATATGTTGTTTTCCATGAGAAATTTTTTTATTAATAATTAGGATTCTTCAGGGATAAGAAAATATTTGAATAACTAAGTTTGTGCATAAACACATTAAGGTCAAATACCCATGACAATATTGTGTGTTTCTCTGTACTAGAGACAAAAACTTCAAAAAAATTTTTAACGAATATACATTAAAAACTGCTTTCATTAAACTGAGATGATCTTCCCTCAATGCATGAATACCTTCAGAATTCACATAGACCAAAGAATTGTATAAAATATAATAGCCTTAAAAATCTTATTTGTACCTGGCACAGTGGCTCCTGCCTGTAATCCAAGCATACTGGCAAGCTGAGGCAGGCAGATCACCTGAGATCAGGAGTTTGAGAGCAGCCTGGCCAACATGGTGAAACCCCATCTCTACTAAAAATAGAGAATTTAGCAGGGTATGGTAGCACATGCAGGTAGTATCAGCTACTCGAGGGGCTGAGGCAGGAGAATTGCTTGAACCCGAGAGGCAGAGGTGGTAATGAGTCAAGACCGAGCCACTGCACTGCAGCCTTGGTGACAGAGCAAGACTCTGTCTCAAAAACACAAACAAACAAACAAAACACCTAATTGTTCCCACATAAGTCTATATTCACACAAGATCTGAAGAGTACACAACACCGTGAGACAGGACAGACATAAATTTTAAAAGTTATATTCCCGGTTTCTGTAAAAATAAAACGGTTGAATTTAAGCTTTTAAGACAAGTCAAGGAAAAGAGCAAAAAATGCAAAAGTGAAACTTGAAAGGTCATTTTCCCATCAAGGGCTCATGATCCACTGGACATTCACAAACTATATTGTTCAAAACATTAGTTCTGAATTTTGATCTGAGTATCCCTGGAGTTGCAGTTTCATTCAAAGATGTCCAAGAGGTCAAATAAGACAATATCATTTGCTATTTTCAGTTTTCTTTTCTGAGAACAGCACAACAAACTTCTTCAGAGAAATGAATTGTCCTAACTTCATAGGCTAAAGGCTCATGAGTCACAGTTCTAAGGGCATTTATAAAATATGGTGGTGCATGCTTGTATTCTGAACTTTTCAACTTTAAACTCTCATATAGTAAATATTAATAGATACAAACTGATTAAAGAAAAGCCCACTTAATCTGACATTATTTTTATTTTTCTTTCTTTCTTCATTTATCAGCAACAGGAGAGTCTAACTAAATGTGGTAAAGTGGTATAAGGGAATACAATGAAAAGTGTAAAATGAATTAAACCAGAGATAATCATATCAATGTGGATACATCTGGAAAATATAATACAAAATACACCAAAGAAAGTGGCAGAAAGGTATGTAAAGTGTATAACCACTCACATACCATTTTGGGACACAAATAAAAAATTCTGCATATTATTTCTGAGCATCACAATATAGTTAAAGATTTCAAAAGGGCATTGAAATGAAAAACAACCAACTTATGATGTCGGTAGCCTCTATGCAATCATGTTTTAAAAACCTTAACACCAAAAAGTCTCAAAATCACCATTTTAAAAGACTGTGTCTATCAGTTATAAATGAA
The DNA here is from genome assembly GCF_000001405.40 of Homo sapiens. Classification (NCBI taxonomy): domain Eukaryota; kingdom Metazoa; phylum Chordata; class Mammalia; order Primates; family Hominidae; genus Homo; species Homo sapiens. The sequence continues at coordinate 67,887,996 of NC_000009.12, read as the reverse complement.
TCATTACTTTCCTCATTTTTAATAGTCAAAGATGCCACAAACACACACATACACACAGCTATATATACACCTACACACACAGTCTTGCTCATTAGAACATCTGATTGGCTTCAGATCATCAGTGTAATAACACTAGCAGCAAGCCTCTAAAGTTAAAACAGAATCTGACATGTTAATAAGTAAAGCTTTCCTCTAGGTAAAGTTCAGAACTCCAAGTAGCACTTAACTCATTGGAAATATCTTAGAGTCTCAAAATTCACTGCTTTGAATCCCTGACAGGTATAAAAATTTTATACTGAAAACTTCATGCTATTCAAAACATTAAAAGAGAAACATCTGAGTTAAAGCTTACATTTTTAAAATCTTTTTTATGCTTCTAAATTTATTTTTATTCAAATATGGATACCAACAATAACATTTATGTCAATGCCTTCCATTCAATTTTGAACAAATAGAATTAGGAATAAGAATAATGTGAGTACTTCCAATCATTGAATGTACTTATTTCCAGTATTCCATTAAATGTACCTGCTCTCAATGTCTGTACATTCTTTCTTTGTACTGCTCCTTTCACAGCAGGATCTTCCACTTCAGTGCTAGGCTGAATGGGTTTTAAAAGAAAATGATTCATAAATCATATATATTTTATACAACATGGAGTTAGTGATTCAAAAATATACATAATTAATTACCTTCAAGGAAGGATGTTTTGCAGGAGGCCCTACAAAGCAAAGGGGATATGTCATCAATTATATGTAAGTATGACAGGGCCAACCAAACATTCATGCAGTGGTACTATCGAGCTGAATTCTCATGCCTGGCTATAAAAATAATTACTTAAGGTTTTGAGGGTTCTTCTTGGCATCTTTTCATTGCCTAGGACGGCAACATGACAGAAACATAATGAGAAAAATAGGAATATAGGATTCCTAAAATGCACAGTTTACATTTCAGTAGTGAGATTATGTTTCAAATGCCTATACCTAAAATAGAAAAGCATGGATATCACCGTGAACACGTGGACTGATGAGGAGAAAAGGGACCATTAAACAGAGGAGCAAATCAAACCTGAGGGAATCGACGTCAAAGCTGATGGTGAATGTACAGAGTATTTTAACTCAACACAGCAGAGGCATTGCTGCCAGCATGCCACAAACAAATTCCCCTTGTCTTGTCACTGAGGAAATACACAGTTGGGATGACAGTTCAGGTGAATGTGTGATTCACCTCTCATCAAAGAAAGTGTTCTACATTGATCAGCTAGTATACACACTTATGAAATGACAGCTAATCAAACTACTCATTTTTCCCATGATCACATGGGCTACTGCAGCACCTACATTTCTCCTATCCCCTCATTTGGCCTTGAGTTAGAGCTCCTTGATCCACTCATGCAAGGATCACATAAAATGAACCATGTCGAATAAGCTTCTGATATCAAAATATTTATCAAAAAAGAAAACACTGAATTACCACAGACTTGCTGGATATGAATACATATTTATATTTCAAAATCAGTGCAGTATTTATTGAAAAAGAGAATTTTGGTATTCACAGAATGAATTTTGTAATATCAAAAAAAATTAGCCAAAGCATCTATATGCAACTTAATCACATCTTATTCACTCATGTCAGTGAAACTTCTCTCTCTGAGGCCTGACAGTTATCAAGTGAAATGAGCTGCTGTGGTTTACCCCAACTCTAGCACTCCCTCCTGCCTCCAGTACTCTCCACAGCAATAACCTCTTTTGTGAGACTGGGCATATGCTGAAGCAACTGGAAGTGAGTTGTCTCAAGTTTACTTGGCTTCAACTCCCAAGACCCCAGCAAATGTCTTTCTTTCCTCCCTCCGTGTCCTTTCACAATCCCTCTTCCTTTGAAAAAGTGATTTTTAGAACTGTCATCCTGATGCTTCCCTTCCTAACTGCTTTTTATGGATAATTGTGACCACTTTTTTCATCTGTATTCAGCAGTAGTATACACCTGTAATCTCTCTGTTTTCATCTCATTCTCCTTCCCCTGTGGCTAGAATCATGCTCAGAAATAAAAGGAAATTAATGCTTTCCCTGGATTCTGTTATTTTTTAAATTGCTCTCCAATGGTTCTTTTTCCAGAGTTCTCTAAAGGAAGGCTATTCCCTTGCTATTCAGAGCTGTGTCCAAGGACCAGCACCAAAAATCACCTGAGTACTCATGAGAAATGCAGACTCCCATACCTGCTGAATCAGAATGTGCACCTTCCAGAAGCTCCTCAACTCATTCATGACAATTTGAATGCCCTGTTCTACACTGATGTGCTTCCATATTGGTTTCCCCTAATTGCCCTTTTGGCCTAGCCTCAATTTCTTCCCTATTATGTCCCTCAATTTAATACTACATTATAAGCCATAATGTTTCTAATGAACTTTTAATCAGGCAATAACTTCTCGAATTAATTTCTTCTCCATAAATCACCCAACACTATTCAATTATGTTAATTTGGCCTATATGATACTATCCTATGAGGTTACAACATTTTCTATAAAAACAAATTATAGCCATACATGGCTGACCATTTTTGGTGATGTTCATCTATGGTAGATAAAACACAGGTCTGTGTGGTGAGGTGCCTCAATCCTTAATGCCTCCCCAGTAGTGAGGATGACAGCAAGAGAAGGAAAATGTTACTGTAATTCTCTGACACATTTTGGTACTGGAAGCTCACTTTATCTTCTTTCCTGTTTCTAACACCATGTTCTTCCTTCTTCTACAGATCAATTTGCCTTTACTATCCTCTCTTACTTGCCTCTGCATATGCTTTTTTATTTATTCCATGTACACTCCGCTCTCCTCATTCTTTCTTTCTCTTTATTCATTTCCTCTTCCCTCTCTCCTGACTTGCCTCAGGTCTTAGAGTATCTTAAAATGGAACTCACAACTCAGCTCCTTTAGTGGTACTCCCAATAGAATCAACTGCTGACCCTTGGTTAGAGACACAACTTATCACCATTTCACTTCTTTACTTATTATACAGTTAATAGGACACCTTCTTTAGCTATTACACTCTATTAGTGCTCATATTTTCAAAGAAACATTCCATCAAATGACTTTTTTTGTTTTGTTTTTTCTGAGACGGAGTCTCGCTCTGTCGCCCAGGGTGGAATGCAGTGGTGGTATCTCCGCTCACTGCAAGCCCCGCCTCCCGGGTTCAAGCCATTCTCCTGCCTCAGCCTCCTGAGTAGCTGGGACTACAGGCGCCCACAACAACACCTGGCTAGTTTTTTGTATTTTTAGTAGAGATGGGGTTTCACCATGTTATCCAGGATGGTCTGGATCTCCTGACCTTGTGATCCGCCCGCCTCGGCCTCCCAAAGTGCTGGGATTACAGGCGTGAGCCACCGCACCCGGCCTCCATCAGATGACTTTTTAAATAAAATACGGTTCTCACCTTCTCCTTGTCCATTGACTATTCTGTTTCCTTTTTCATGCGAAGATCCAGGTAAAGGCTCTGACACTTTCTCGGGGACACACTGCTAAGGTAATATCAAGAATTAGTTTCCATTTTAAAATTATAATGAGTTGCATCAAGAGTTTCTTATCAATCTCTTTTTATGAAACTGGGTCTCACTCTGTCAACCCAGGGCTAGAATGCAGGGGCCTGATTATGGCTCACTGTTGTCTCAAACTCCTGACCTCAAGCAATCTTCCCACCTCAACTTCCTGAATAGCTGGAACTACAGGTGCGTCCCATCATGCCATGCTAATGTTTTTATTGTTATCTTTGCAGAGACAAGGCCTCATTATACTGCCCAGGCTGGTCTCAAACTCCTGGGCTCAAGTAAATCTTCCACTTCTGCCTCTCAAAGTGTTGAGATAAGCAGTGTGCACCACCACACCCAGCCCTAATCAATTTCTTTAAATCAATCTCAATGTTGCCCAGGCATGGTGGCTCACACCTGTAATCTCAGCCCTTTGCAAGGCCAAGGTGGGTGGATTGCTTGAGTTCAGGAGTTTGAGACCAGCCTGGGCAACATAATGAGAACACATCTCTACTCAAAAAATACCAAAAGGAGTCAGGCATGATGGTGTGCGCCTGTAGTCCCAGCTGCTTGGGAAGCTGATGTGGGAGGATCACTTGAGCCTGAGAGGTGGATACTGCAGTGAGCCAAGATCATGCCACTACACTGCAGCATGGGCAACAGAGCAAGACCCTGACTCCCCAAAAATTTCAATTTAAAATATGAGAATGAAGAGAGATACAAACAAAAAACAAGCCTAATTGGTCAATGAAATATGAGCTTAAGCCAAGAAAGAAAAGAAACAACATGAAGTACAATAAAGTACATGGGGAAATAGATCTATAACAGAGCCTTTTGCTCTTTCATATCCCTGATAATACTAATTAATATTTATGCTACAATTAGTTTTTTGTAAGTACTTCTGTGATACAGTTTATTACTATAAGACATTCAATTAGCTAAATATGGTCATCGACCACTACCTGAAAGAACATTATTATAACACAGAGAGAAAACTAGAACTTTCAATCAACTTTCCACCCAGAAAAAAATTGGTCACCAGAATTCTAAAGAGTAACGTATGGCAGACACATGAAAAAATGCTCATCATCACTGGCCATCAGAGAAATGCAAATCAAAACCACAATGAGATACCATCTCACACCAGTTACAATGACGATCATTAAAAAGTCAGGAACCCACAGGTGCTGGAGAGGATGTGGAGAAATAGGAGTACTTTTACACTGTTGGTGGGACTGTAAACTAGTTCATCCTTTGAGGAAGACAGTATGGTGATTCCTCAAGGATCTAGAACTAGAAATACCATTTGACCCAGCCATCCCATTACTGGGTATATACCCAAAGGATTATAAATCATGCTGCTATAAAGACACATGCACACGTATGTTTACTGCGGCACTATTTACAATAGCAAAGACTTGGAACCAACCCAAATGTCCATCAATGACAGACTGGATTAAGACAATGTGGCACATATACACCATGGAATACTATGCAGCCATAAAAAAGGATGAGTTCATGTCCTTTGTAGGGACATGGATGAAGCTGGAAACCATCGTTCTGAGCAAACTATCGCAAGGACAAAAAACCAAACACTGCATGTTCTCACTCATAGGCGGAAATTGAACAATGAGAACACCTGGACACAGGATGGGGAACATCACACACTGGGGCCTGTCGTGGGGCGGACAAGGGGGGAGGGATAGCATTAGGAGATATACCTAATGTAAATGATGAGTTAATGGGTGCAGCACACCAACATGGCACGTGTATACACATGTAACAAACCCACATATTGTGCACATGTACCCTAGAACTTACAGTATAAGAATAATAAAGAGTAATGTATGGCTTGAAAAAGTATATTTAATAAAACATGAGTTGGAGCTAATAAAAAGCTTAAGAAATGTTAATCTAAAATCTCAATGTTAAGATTCCAGTTGAATGATACTAGAAAATATATTGTAACCCTATTTGCTACTGATGACCTATTTCTATTTTATTTCCTTTTTAATTATGGCATAATTTCTCAACATAACATATCAAAACTTATACACCCTTAAATATTAAAAAATACAATGTAAGCAATATTTTAAATACAATATTTAATTATTAGCTACATTAGGTTTATTATATTACTTATAACATTCCATTATATAAAAATTCATTTGTCTATTTATTCAGATTAAACATTATTAAGGCTGAATATCTTATGCCTGTAACCCAGCACTTTGAGAGGCTGAGGCAGGCAGAACACTTGAGCCCAACAGTTAAAGACCAGCCTGGGCAACAAGGCAAAACCCTGTCTCTACAAAACTCAGCTGAGCATGGTGACACAGGTCTATGGTGACATAGCTCTATTGTTTAAACTACTTGGATGGCTGAGGTGTGAGGATCACCTGAGCCCAGGAAATGGAGATTGGAGTGAGCCAAGATCTCACCAGTGCCCTCCAGCCTGGGGGACAGAGTGAAACCCCATCTCAAAAAACAACAAGTAAAATGCTTCTTACATGGAAGACTGTATTCTAGGTACTCCAGGATACACACAAATATGTTTACTGACCTCCAGTAGCTTACGGTATGCAGGAGCTTCCAATGATTATTTAAACAACTAAATAGAAAACCTTCTGAAATTCAAAATTTCAGAATATGATATGAGGACTTTGAGTGGTTATTTTATTTTTTAAGATGTAGTCTTGCTCTGTCACCCAGGCTGGAGTGCAATGGTGCGATCTTGGCTCACTGCAACCTCCGCCTCCCGGGTTCAAGCGATTCTCCCACCTTGGCCTCCTGAGCAGCTGGGGTTACAGGCATGCACCATCACGCCTGGTTAATTTTTCTGCTTTTGTTTTGTTTTGTTTTGGTTTTGGTTTTTTTTAGAGACAGGGTTTCACCACGTTGGCCAGGCTGATCTTGAACTCCTGACCTCAGGTGATCTACCGACCTCGGCCTCCAAAACTGCTGGGATTACAGGTGAGTCTCCACGCCTGGTGAAGTAAATATTTTAAATAAACTACAATGACAAAATTATGATGATAAAGTCTTACCATCCATTGGTATTAAGAGTCTCTGCTTCTAGAACTGGTTATTTGCAGCAAAATACATGTTATTCAATTAGATGAAGTGCCTTATATAAACTCTTCATGGACAACTCATAAACCACACAAAAATTCCTTTGCAATACACATTTTGAGAACATAAATTTAAATTTCTATATTTCCACAATTTATATTTTTAAATCAGATACGATGTTGCCCAGGCTGTTCTCAAACTCCTGGGTTCAAGCAATCTTCCTGCCTCAAATTCCCAAGTAGCAGGGACTACAGGTGTACACCACCACACTCAGTTATTTTTCTACAATTATTAATTTTTTTGTCTCACTACAGAACCAATAATATAAGTAGAAAAACAATCTCTCGTAAAAACAATATGATACCAAAATAATAAGTTTCCAAGAACAAAAGCTATATGCTATGTGCTGAATATTCTTGCCACTAAAAATCACCAGGAGGATCCCATGATTACTGCAAATAATTTGATCCACTGAAGATTTATACAGGCATAAATATTAAGAAAGTCACACTCGTATGATTTAAAAGTCAAAGTATTAGTATTTATCCAAATAAACCTTAAGCAAATTTCATATTTCCTCTATTGGAGAAAGCATTTCCTAATGTGATTTTCCTGTCACTACTAATTTTCCAGTTCATTTTTTTTCAGCTCCCACCCTGTCACAGTACTTATCAATCTTTGTTAGTTACCAAAGTTAAACACATTTTTTGAATCAACTAGCCATATGTATGTTTTTCTCTGACCAACTTTCCATTACCACCATAAAACAATGATAGGTAAACCACTGCTAAATTTGAAAAGTAAATACTATGCAAAAGTACATTCAGAGTGAGAAAATTAATTTTACAAGAGACCACTTTACCTTAGTAGCAACATTCAAGTCTTTGTCATCCGATGCAGGCAATGAATCCACACGCAGTTCATGGAAAATGCTTGAGAGCAAAAACACACAACGAAAATGAGCAAGTTGATTTCTTTACAATTTTTTTAACTGCCAGTTTATATCCAGCTTCCCCCTCAAAAAAGGAAACCATAATCTAGGGAAAGGTCAGCAATCTATATATTAAATAGTGATTCTTGATATAATTAAAATATGTCCTCTTCTAAAAATAGATTTTAGTTACCTATTTCTGCCTCCACTTGTCTAAATCTATAAAATATTCAATGAAAACTAACCTTGAGCTTTATAACAAATAGTGACAGTCAATAAATTGGCAGAGCCTGACAATGATTTGCCCTCACAAATTATCTGTCCTGAAGCTGAACTTAAAATTCAATTAATGGATGACATAAATTTTGTTACCTAAACTGGAAGAAAATTAATAACCTAAAACAAGGTAGAAAGATCCACTGTCTCTTTTCCATGATCTGTCTCTGGATAAAAGACTAATCTGCATCACTTCAATATGGCAGTCTTGATTCCTCAGCATGGAACCCACTTAGGAAGGTCCTATTGCTTTCCTTTGCCCTAAATCAGTACAGGAAAGCCCCTACAATATTTGAAATGTATGAAAGCTAAATGTACAGAAGTCAAATAACAAAGGTGTATGTTCTTATTGAGAATACTTTTCCCAGAAAGATTGAAATATTAACAATTATAAAATCCCATTATTTTCACCCTATAGGTCCTACCTTATTCAGGTCCACATAAACTAGCAAGCCCTTAAAACTTTTCATAGGCACTCAGACACCCAAGGAGAGAGACTGTCAGAAAAAAACAGAGTCCTGGTAGGTGTACCTCTATTTCCCTAAGTACTCTCTAAGTATCTGTCTTCCTATGGGCTCCCACTTCCAGATTCCACTTCTGCAGGGCTCCACAGAAGTCTCCAATCTTTAAATCTTCTGTCTATGAAAGCACAGATTCCTGAAAGGATGGCCTCAAATGACCAGGACTAGGAGCTCTCTATATCCCTGCTCCTGAAAAACAAGCTAACTGGAGTCTCCATCACCTGTCCCCAGCTAGACACACTACCAACTACCCAACTGAACTCCATGACTGATTTGCCAGCCAATCATGCCCCTGACCCAGCCCACATGGACATGGGAAGGACATCAGTGAATCGGGAAAAGAGGCAGAGGTGAGGAGACACCTGTACTGGGCCACAGATCTATGTAGTTCAGCAATCTCCAGCCCCTTAGTACTCCAGGGGCTCTAAGCCACCCCTTTCTAAGTCAGGATGGAAGTAGATGACACCACATTTCTATCTGCTGCAGACGCTCCTCCCAGTGTCTCAAAATGTTTTAGCATCTTTCAGTAAAAATCTTCAAGTTTGTCAGTCCTTGATTTAAAAAAAAGCAGCAAACTTTTTAGAGCTCCCTTGAACCTTCTATTTTAATGTGCCTTCGTAGATAATTCCCAACATCTTGTGTCCTTCATTTTTATAATTTATCTTTATCAAACTTGTCATAAACCCCAATATTTTGATCTCTTATAGAAGAGTCTGTACTCCTATCCAATCCAGTGTTGTTTATCTTCAAACTTGGACTTCCCTGCTCATTCCATTCTTATCTACTTCCATTGGGTTCCCCAGCTAATTCCATTCTCATTCTACCCACAGACTCACTCCTGTTTGTATTATTAAAACACACGCCAATAGGATATAAAAAGAAGCAAGAGTACTGGGCTTTAACATGAGTTCAAATCTCATTTCTGCCAATTCCTATGTCTAAAAAAAAGCATCCTAAACTCTTTGAGCCTCACATTCTCTATCTAGAGAATCATTTGACCAGAATGTTCAACACAGGTAAAAATACTAGAAGGTATTTTAATTCATTCCAAGATTCCTTAAAATTCTGTAATTCTATGTCCTCTTGATTCTGTCTATAGAAAAACTTAGAATACATAGCCAGCAGAGTTTGAAAAAATAATAGAACAAAAGAAATACCAAGAAAAGCAGAGAAGAAAGTTTTAAAAAATGAAGGCAAGATTATAGAAAAGTCACGGAAAAAGCAACAAGACTAAAAAATGTATTATGGAAGTAAGCAGAAATACTTGCCTAAATGGAAAACCAAACTGGGAAGTCAAATAATTTGTCTCTAAGACTTGCCTAAACTTGCTTTTGTAAAACTTACACCCCTATGGCAAAGCTAAGTAAGATCTGCCCTAGAGCCTTTGATGGTAAAAATAAGATACTGGTTACCACTGAAATTGTCAAATTTATTAGGACAAACTCTTGGACTAACCACATTCTAATGATAAACTTAAATGAGAGTTCAAGGTATTTAAACTCTCATTAATTTAGACATTAATCAAATTAATCAATCTGACTAATCTGATTCAGACCTATACCTTGATCCAAGGGCTGCACAGATATCTGTCAATCTATGCTGAGGAGCAAGAGACAGGATTTGGAAGGCAGGCAGGCTGATGGTCAAACTGTAGGCCAGCTACTTTGTTAACTATGGGATCATGAGGCAATTAATCAGCTCTAATCCATAGTTGTTTATTTAATAAACAGTAGGTTACAGGAACACAGATGTTGTGATGGCTTTATGAGATGATAAATGCATAGAACATATTAGGATGTCTAGCCCAGAATACAACACTCAACAGATACTCATTTCTTCCATCTATATTTTCTTAGTTAACATAATTTTTTAAATCTATAAAATCCTACCTGACTGCAGATTCATCAGAACTTCCAACATCTATTAAAGAAAAAGGTAAAATGCATTTTAAATCAATAACAAATGTACAGAATATTAAAAGCATAAGAATGCACAGTGATGCATCCCTCTAATCCAAACTACTTGGGAGGCTGAGGCAGGAGGATCACTTGAGGAGCCCAGAAGTTTGAGACCAGCTTGGGAAACATAGTAAGACTCTACCTTCATAAAAAAATTGTGCACACTTGTATGTATGCTTTAGATCCTGTTTTTTGTTGTTGTTGTTTTTGTTTTGGTTTGGTTTGGTTTTTTAAAGCATAAGACTGATGCTTTGTTACAAAGCATTCCTTTGGGAGCATGCCTGGGACCTTATTAGAATTAACATTCGTTATACATATTGGTAGGTAATTAATGCAGTAAGAACTCTTCCCTTTGTATTTATTAGATGCAAAGAAGAATAAATTTATTAAAATTTGGTATCTACAAGTGAACTGCAGTATGCAAGTCATCTTAGCCAAACCCTATGAGGTTGAGTAAAAATGGTATTGTTAGCAGAACAGGTGTGATGAGTCACCAGTGTCAAAGAGCATGATTTCTGGACCAAAATATGAGGCGCCATTAAAACAGAGTACACAGTAGTACCCCTTATCCACTATACGTGCAGAAAGACATACTTGACACATTTTTCTCTGCTGTCACACCACAGCAACAATCATCAACAAAGAAGGCTTCTGTGACCAAATGTGTGGAGGGTTTTTCCCCACCAACAAGCAAGCAATCATTCCTGCTGATGACATAATTCAATTCTCACACCTTATCTGCTGGTAACATCAGATTCAATTTAATTTATAAATTAAACTTTAGCATAGATATGTATGTATAGGGAAAAACAGTTTGTGATTCAGTACTATTCATGGTTTCATGCATCCACTTGGGGGTCTTGGAATGTATCTCCCACAGTTAAGGGGGAGCTACTGCACTTATTTTGTTATAACACAACACAGCCTCTCTAGCTCTTCAGTTCAAACTGCTCAGTTTAGAATAAAACACCCTAACACCAGATGTCAGCAAAACATAGGAATCAGACCAGAAACAGGAATCCTTGCAAAGACTTTCCAGCCGCTAGTGGAAAAGAGCTCAAAAGAGATCAATGTATTACTCTGGCTACTACTCTTTGGGGAAGGTGCTGGGTGGTTTACTTAGTTGTAGCTATTTGCTCTGCCCTACATATAGCAAGGCCCAAATTCACCTGCCATTTTACCTCCCACAGAAAAACCACTGGAAAGATCACTCCTTTAAGAGCTTATACGCTAGGAACCACACCTCACATTCAGAGAGAAGCTGAAGAAACACCAGGGAGGTGTGGCAGGCTGCTGGACAGTACTATATGATGTGAAAAATATATAGAAAGAAAACCATCAATGCCCTTTTACTACCAGAATGTTCCAGTGCTTGCCCTTCTCCCTAGTAGGGGAAAAAAATTCTTTTTCACCTCACAGAAAGCAAAACTCTCTTGCTATCCCTCATGACAGAATCTAGTTGTAGGTGAGTCACATCATCATAATACAGGCTGTTGTCAACCTCATCCCTCAAAGGAAGAGGATCAGTGAGGAACCTATGTACTTACCTATAGCATTCACTGTCTGGTCTTATTTCCAACCGAAGGTAAGTATGAAAGACTTTGTGATTCCAGTTTTATAAAGTACAACCCCTTGCACTTGTCCCCTTCCATTGATAGAGAATCTATCTGGACCCACCTCACAGAGCAAGATGCTCCAGTTTGTGCTGTGTGGTACAGCATGGTGTCCTTTTCCTCAACCCTTTCTATTATGTGCCACATATCTATACAAATCATGTTTTCTAAGTATGTAAAGCATATGTCATCAGAATATATCATTCTTTACAATGATAAAGAAGCAAAAGAAAAACAAAAGGACAAAGAACATCTTAAATGACTACATTCAACTGCCATGGAGCTTTAATTTTTTAACTATTCAAAAAGATATCCACTGTATTATTCCAACTATGTGACTCTTCTGAAAAAAGTAAAACTATGAAGACAGAGTAAACATCAATGGTTGCCACGAGTTACTAGGGAGAAAGGGAAAGATGAACAGGCATAGCACAGAGAGTTTTTAGGGCTGTGAAACTGTTCTGTCGATAATATTACAGTAATAGATACATGTCATGTCATTATACACTTGTCCAAATTCACAGAATGTACAGCATCAAGAGTGAAGCCTGATGTAAACTATGAACTTTGAATGATTATAATGTGTCAATGTAAGTTCATCAGTTGTAACAAATGTACCACTCTCTGGTGGAAAATAGTAATAATGGGGGAGGCTATGCATGTGTGGGAGGCATGGGATATATGAGAAATCTCTGTACCTTCCTCTCAATTTTGCTGTGAACCTAAAACTGCTCTAAGAAATAAGGTTATTGATTTAAAAAAAGATATTCAGCTGGGCTCAGTGGCTCATGCCTGTCATCTCAGCACTTTGGGAGGCAAAGATGGGTGGATCACCTGAGGTCAGGAGTTCAAGACCGGCCTGGCCAACATGGCAAAACCTCGTCTCTAATAAAAATACAAAAATTAGCTGGGCATGGTGGCTGGCACCTGTAATTTCAGCTACTCAGGAGGCTGAGGCAGGAGAATCGCTTGAGCCTAGAAGGTGGAGGTTGCAGTTAACTGAGATCGCACCACTGCAATGCAGCCTGGGAGACAGAGTGAGACTCCATCTCAAAAAACAAAAAGATATTCACTGTCTATGCATCCCAGGATCTCCAGAACAATTACAATAAATAAATAAATAAATAAATAAATAAATAAATGGCTGGGGGCAGTGGCTCATGCCTGTAATCCCAGCACTTTGAGAGGCCGAGGTAGGTGGATCACCTGAGGTCAGGAGTTCGAGACCAGCCTGACTAACATGGTGAAACCCCATCTCTACTAAATACAAAAAATTAGCCAGGCATGATTGTGCATGCCTGTAGTTCCAGGTACCTAGGAGGCTGAGGCAGGAGAATCATTTGAAACTGGGAGGTGGAGGTTGCAATGAGCCAAGATTATGTCATTGTACTGCAGCCTGGGCAACAAGAGCAAAACTCCGTCTCAAAAAAATAAGTAAATAAAATAAAAAATAAAGATATTCACTGAACCTGTTACTATGATATATTTAAGCAAGACACGGTGACCCTAAAAATTAGAGATCATTGAAGACCAAAGTAACAACATGTGGTCATTACTTCTCAAATTGAACTATATAAAATATATAAAATAAATAAATTTAATTGCATGCTTAGGTAAGAAAATATTGATAAAAATAATTGAATATTTTATCTTATTTCATAATTCTAAACAGGGATTTAGCACAATATGAAAACTAGACTATTCATGTAATCAAAATAAAAGACAATTTTTATTCTAATGTTAACTCAGAAATTATTTTGCTTATTTAATTTAACAATTTTACTGAAAGGTTAATGAGATAAATAGGACAGATTATAATTACCTAACATTGCTATGGTAACTTATATACAAATAGCTGTTCATCACCAAAAGTCAAAAAAGTAACAAGCACTGCAACTTAAGATGGATCATACAACAGAAATTAGTACCAAGTTACCTTATCTTATAATATTATGTTATTAAAATGAAATTTTAAAACAACACCAAAAATTAAGTTGGGGTTACAAGTGTTGTGCAGAAAAGATTTCATATAGCAGGCAAGAGGCTGCCATCCTTAGAAAGGCCTGCATGCAAGGCTGGCCCTTGGCTGGTGTTTAGGAAATTGGAAATGGGAGGGTTTCCACCATTCCCTGAGAAGAGTGGCTCACTGTGTCTAAAGTGCTTATAGAAACAGTGTATTTACTCTAAACAGCTGCTTTCCTTGTAAGAGTCTGGAATTTGGGTACATGTGAGGGAGAGTAACCTCCATAGAAAAACTTGGGCACTTAGTCTCTAATGAAACTCTGGTACTGGTAGACATCACTGCACATATGTTGTCAAAATGTGAGCCTGGGAGAATTAAGCAGATCCCGGGAACTCCACAGGACAGAACTCCTGGAGGCTTGTGCCTTGTTTCCTCCAGAATTGACCACATGCACCTTTTTCCTCTACTAATTTTGCTTGTCCCCTTCCTTGTTATCAATTAAAGATCTGAGTATGACTATTTGTTGAGTCCTGTGAGTCCTTCTAATGAACCACCAAACCTGGGGTGGTCTTGGGAAACCTTGACACAAATTCATTGTGTAAGATTTGTATTAAGTTGATATGATACGTGTAACTGTAATCAGATGGTTATTTCACAGAATAACTTTACCTAATCTGTTTTTCTTTTCTTTTTTTGCCTTGATATTTGACTTGGAGATTCTTGTATTTCTATATCTATCCAATTGAATAAAGCCATAGAAGGAATAAATGAAAAAATAATGTCAGAAAATAATGTGAAATGAGCAGCAATCCTCTTTTATCTGAATAAAAAATAGAGAATCTGGGTGATTGACAATATGTTCTACAATATGAATGTTTCTAGAAAAAAAATGAAAAAGTGGTCAATTTTCTGCAACTCAACTGGGCTTCATTCCTTTTTATAATAATTTTGAAGGCCAGGTGCAGTGGCTCACACTTGTAAATCCGAGCATTTTGGGAGGTTGAGGCAGGAGGATCACTTGAGCCCGGAAGTTCCAGACCGGCCTCGGCAATATAGTGAGACCTCATCTATTAAACAAACAAACAAACAAAAATCCCTTAAAAAGAAAATTAGCCAAGTGTGGTAGTGCATGCCTGTAGTCCAAGCTACTTGGGAGGCTAAGGTGAAAGGATCATTTAAGGCCAGCAAGCAGAAGTTGCAGTGAGCCAAGATGGCACCACTGCACACCAGTACTGACAACAGAGGGAGACCCTGTATTAAAAATAAATAAACAAATAAATAATTGTGTATCAGGCCAGATGTAACCACACAAAACTGTAGTCCCAGCTACTCAGGAGGATGAAGTAGGAGGACTGCTTGAGCCCAGGAGTTCAAGGCTACAGTGAGCTATGATTGCACCAATGAATAGACACTGTATTCTAGCCTAGGCAACATAGAGAGACCCCATCTCCTATGATAATAATAATTGATTAATTGTGCATCATTCAAGTAAATTGTATAACTGGAGAAAAACATATGACTATTGAATATACTATTATAGTCTACCACTGACCATAGAGTTCCTGTTTACTTGCTTCTAATCTTTTTCTTCATTTCTCATAAAACTGAAAACATGATTTAAACCCATTAAAGGCAGTTCATCACAAAACAAGTCAAAAAGTCAAAAGAATTGCATCCAAACAGTAGGATGCGCTATCCACCGCTCTCTGTGAACAGTTGGATTTGGTCATTAAGAATCAGCAGGACTTTTAACTTTGTGTCTGTGTGCACAGGTGTGTGCACATGTGCGTGTGTGTATGTGTATGTATGTAAACTATGACAGATAAAATCATTTTGCTTGTGTACGAATATGTAATATAACTTGTGCTTCTCACAAAGGAATTGCTTTTCCGTCTCCTGTGCTCAGTAGCTGTCTTCAAAAAATAATCTCCTATTTGTATGGGTGCACACTGGTTCAGTTCTACAGTTCTTATTGCCATTTACTTATGGTACCAGAAAGGGATTGCTGAGTTCCTGGTTCTAAAGATAGTTACTTTCTTAGTGACACAAATCAATATGTAATACAGTTCACCCTTGAACAGCAAGGGTTTCAACTGCAGGGATTCACTTATATGCAGATTTTCTTCTGCCTCTGCAACAGAGAGACAGCAAGATCCACCTCTCCTCTTCCTCCTCAGCCTAATCAACCTGAAGATCATGAAGACCTTTGTCAGGACTACTTATGCTTTATGAAAAGTCAATATGTTTCTCCTGATGATTTCCTTTCTAACAGCTTCATTTCTCTAGCTTATTTTATTGTACGAACACAGTATATAATAATGCAGCACAAACAAAATAGGTGTTCATCAACTGTTTATGTTATCAGGAAGGCTTCCAGTCAATTGTGGGCTATTAGTAGCTAAGGTGAAGGAATCAAAAGTTATACTCAGATTTTCAACTGCACAGGGATCAGAGTCCCTCACCCCCACATTATTCATGGGTCAACTGTAGTTATTTGTTTACTAAATATAAACAATTTATTATAAAAATGAAATCGAAGATCCATTTGTATAACAAGTCCAATTTGTTATAATGTGACTATAGAGGAAACATACAACATACTAACTTAAAAATCTTTTTTCTTATTTATGCAAAAATATTATATAGGATTTTAGGGATCATAATTAATAAATGAATGTTTTCAGACAATAATGTTTGAGATTATAAATTAGCTACAACTACCTTCTTAAATAAATCTGAATTTCAAACTAAAGAAGTTAAATTTTAAAAATTAATTTACATATGTATATACATATATACACATTCAATTTACACATATTTTTAAACTGGTCTTTTTTGACTGAAACTACCTTAATCTTACATCTTACTTTGTATTTTCTTATCAAGAGTAGGACCACCAAGAGAAGTAAGAAATTCACAATCAGAAGTCTTACCTGATTTCTCCTTTTTAAGTATCTTCTTTTTATGTTCCAAAATTTGTTGTTGAATTCTATGTATACAAAAGTAATAAATAAAATTGCTATTTTTATAATGAAATAAAAAATATTCACCAAACATATTAAATTCCAAAACACTTTCAAGCAATATCAGACCTAATATCAGAATTTTAATGTCCCATACACTTCAAATTTGTAAACCTTACAAGCTTATTAAGCTTATAATTAAAGAAGAAAAGAAAGTGAAGTACTCATAAATGGAGGAAGCACAGCTCAGTAAATGAACTCTAGTTAGCTGGATATCATGCAAAGTGTCCTGCACTCAGAGTAAGTCCTTGCTCTGTAACCAAAATACCTCGCTCTGTAGGTATTTTGTCTTCAGACAAGTTGCTTCTCTTAGGCTCCATGGTTTCTTCTAAAAAACAAGGATTCTGCTACCTTACTTCACTAGGTTGTTTGGAAGATGTAATGAGATTACATGTTTATATGTTCAGAGAAATAGTAAAGCAATGGAATAATTTATTCTTGAACTTTATTGCTGAAACCATTTTGGAATCCCAAATAATGCTCGGTGTGTGTTTTTCTGTAAGTTCTAATACTCAAATGTTGCAGTTTTCAGAAAATGTTATTAAGTGCTAATTTTGGTTATTACTTGTATTCATTGTGGCTTGTAATTCAGGGCATTTTACCTAATTCATAACTTATTACTAAATTTCTATATATATAAATTTAGTGAGCTCATCACTGAGCTCTTCAATCACACCAAGGGCAGAAAACTAATAGGTGTCAAAACCTGGCTTGGACAACTACCACTCCTTCTCTACCTCCTCAAACTCTGAGCCAGCAGATCTGTGCTTGGCTGCTGGATCTCCATGGTCCTCTCCAACTAACAGACAAGACAAAACCCTGCTTTGATTGTTTTTCAGTTCCATGAAGGAAATACAAGTTGACATTTTCTCATTTCCAAGACATGTACTAACAACATGTAACATCCCCTTATTACTCAGCTCTGTTCCCATTTCAGAGATCACCATACATCAATAGTTTCATAGCGATAATCACAATTTCAATATTGCGTGTCACCTGTTTTGGTTTTGCTCACACTGCTTCCTTGGAGCTACTCAACAAATAGTCAAATGGCCTTCCTGGGACTAGGCAAAATATGGAATGTTTTCTGAATTTGTGTGCCATCCCTAGGCAGTAGCCATGCTTATCTGCTCTGTATTGATCCAATTTTAAAATATGTGCTGTTGAAATAAGTACAAAGCCCTGTTTGATACATGGATATTCATGAGTCATGGATGAGGCTTAGCTCTATTAAATCCAACTCACTTACTTCAGATTCAGAGAATTTTATTGAATGGCTTCCTGTGAGGTAGAATTTTAAAATATATTGAAAACTTGAGGAAGAGCTGCAAGTAGCCCAGGAGATTTTCATGATTATAGAGACACATTACTTGAGGGGCCAACTGCAAGCTGGTTCCCACTACTCAGTGGAAAGATAACATGGAACATTCCGCTATCTAACCAAAGCTGCTGCACAGGATATAAAAAAGCCTCAAGGTACAGATCTGATAGCAAAAGAGACAGGGAACTCTGATCTCTTCCTGCAACATTATTTGAACATCCCTGACTATTGAGAACAATCCCAACTAATATTGGTTAAAGGAAAGACAAACATGGCTCTCAAAGGATAACATACCATGAAGGCCTAGGCAAAGTCTAGCTAAGACGTGGGCTCCAAATAAGGTTTTTAGTGTAGGGTGAGCATCAACTTGCTCAATATTTGTGTGGATAAAGCTAGGAGGCCTAGCTGCCAGAGCAGGGTGCTGGGAACAATGACTGAGCACAAGTACATAAACTAATAAACACCGTAGCTTTGACCTCTATATATGAATCACCATGAAAACTGAGGGGTCTGAATCAGTGAAGGCATCCTGGTGGCAAAGGTCAATCATTATCAGATTGCAGGACCGGTTATAATGGCAATAATACAGCAAGTGAGTCCATGGAAACAACAGAATGATTAGAATGGCCTTTTTTCCCCTTCTTCTGACTTGTAAAGAAAGATTGCCTTCCTTGGACTTAGGAAACCCCTTAGCTTCTTGGAAAATTCAAAGAAGGAAGACACAGGAGAGAGCCCCAGGGGACAATACAAGATTTTCTGTTAAACTGGACATTACAAGACTCAATAACTAATTAGAAAAGTAAGGCCAGGCATGGTGGCTAGCACTTTCAGAGGCCGAGGCAGGGGGATTACTTGACCTCAAAAGTTCAAGACCAGCCAGGGCAACAGAGTGAGACCTTGTCTCTACAAAAAAAAAAAAAAAAAGGAAAGGAAAGGAAAAGAAATCAAAGACATGGCTCTTTTTATCCCATGCATGGGGATTATACTTAGAATAAAATGAATAACATTGAGATCCCTAGGGATAAATGTCTCAAAAATCCAGAAAAAATCTCGCACTCTACTTCTAACTAATCTAGACTTCTGCTTGATTTCTGGCTAAAAGGTAGACTAACTCTTCGCTATTTCCAACTATCTGAACCAAACTATGAACTCTCACCTAATGTATAAGATGGAGTAGTTGCAATTATTTTAAACTTCAATTTAGCATTAACTGGCCTTTTAACATAAACACTTACTTTGTCAAATGATGAGAAATAGCATAATCTTCTGCATCTCGTCCACACATGTCTTGAGCGAAGACATCAATATTTTGCTTAAGAAGGATATTGACAATACCTGGTGAGTCATAGTATACAGCAAGCATGAGAGCTGACCTAAAACAACAAAGAAATAACTCCACTCAAGAACTTTAATAAAGACTTTTTTAAAAAGCTAGTTTGATACACTTTACCAGTTTAATATCTGCCTGTCAGTATAGATGTAATAACCATTTGCATGTACTAGCTTGGGTCTATAAGCATCTAGGGTGCTCAAGTGTTCATCTTTGTAAATTGTCACCAAGGCTAAAAGAAAGGGACAACAGGGAAGCCTCTTGTCCCACTGGGGTAAGACATAATACAAGTTGCTAACTTATAGTCCTTTGATGGCCAAGAAACTGTGCTGAGGTCACTTATCTAAAGTAGGCAAAGATTTAGATGAAGATTTCCCCGTTGCTTTCCTAGTCAAATCAGCTAGGGGTCAGATAAGAGTTATCTGCAGGCTGAAAACAACAACAACAACAATAATAATAATGACAATGCTAGTAGTCATAAACTAAAAGTCCGCACTTTAAAAATGAATAAAACTTGTCAGGTGCAGTGTCTCATGCCTGTAATCCCAGCACTTTGGGAAGCCAAGGAGAGCAGATCACGAGGTCAAGAGATCGAGACCATCCTGGCCAACATGGTGAAATCACATCTCTACTAAAAATACAAAAATTAGCTGGGCATGGTGGCGTGCACCTGTAGTCCCAGCTACTTGGGAGGCCGAGGCAGGAGAATCGCTTGAACCTGGCAGGTGGAGAATGCAGTGAGCTGAGATCACACCACTGCACTCCAGCCTGGCAACAGAGCAAGACTCCATCTCAAAAAAAAAAAAATTAATAAAACTAATACAAAACCCTTTAGCTAATAAAAGATTACAGTACCAAAAACATCTGATTATAAATACCAAACACTGTATATTATAAGAGAAGATGAATCCTACTATATACTATTCTTTATGTTACTCAGTCCAAATATTTGCTGGTCTACCTGATTATTCATGGTGATATTTTTCATTATATGCCAATAATTATGTTAATCTTCTTATTAATATTTCTGACTTGAGTGACCACTCTAGAATACTCAGGTTTTATTTTTAAAAAAAGAACTACTGTACCGTCTCAGCCTATCAACGGCATGTGAACTTGCTTTCTTTTTCAATAAAAATTCCACCATTTTCTCTTTCTTGCAAATTATAGCAAATAAAAGTGGGGTATTATTGTCCTATAAAACAGCAGAAAAAAATTAATAATTCACAAAATTACATATTTCTCAACTGAACTGAAAATCTTCTCTAGGATGCTTTGAACTTCAACATACAATACAGAAAGGAAGTAAATGAAAAGCATTCCCTTCATTCTCACTCCTCTGTGCTTTCTGATGTGCTGTGCTTTGCCTTGCAAACAACCCTCCTCTGTCTCCCCGGATTAACTGTGGTCATTGCCAAAACTCACTTTAAACATTTACTAGTCCCAAGAATCCTTGCTTTGATAACAGCACTTATCATGGTACATTGCAGTCATTTCACTGTTTCCCACTGAAACCAAGAGCTTCTTGAGGCAAGGGCCTAAAACCCTAAGACACAGTAGCAAATATTTTAAGTTTTTTACATTAATTAATGATCTAAATTACTATCTCTAAAGCAGTGTCTCTTAAACTATATTCCAAAGAATATTTGCTTTATCAGAAGTATTATACCGCAAGAGAAAGACTCCATGACCATCTGTATTTGAGAAGTATTACAAAACTGTATTTTATGTCCAATAATCAAGAAATCTCTTTAATTTCACCTAATCCCCTTTCACAATACTATTTGTGGCAAACATTAACATTTGAGGAATTAAGAGTTTCAGAGATACAGTTGCCAGAGCTTCCCAATACAGGTGGCAGTTCCCTCTGGGTGGTACAAACTTGCTTGATTCACTTCTATCAATGGTGTCAGGATCCCAGATGCCAATGTCAGGCACTCCTGCTCCAAATGGGTCACCATGGAAATGAGCTTTGAATTAAGACAGATTGGCTTCAAATGCATTTATTTTCCTTATTATTAAATAGTCCATGGGTTTTTCCCCTAATACAAGAGAAGAGATTTTTATCTTTACTGTTAGAAAGCTCAGTATATTCTGTGTAAGAGAGATAGGTTTAAAAAACTTAAGAACAAATATTTTAAAAACCAAAACTCAGTAAGAAATACTATTCTCAATTATAATGGTAATCCCGGGACCCTAGTGCAGCTCTACTTTTTAAATCCATTTTTACTGGCTTCCACTTAAATGGCTACTTAAAATTATTTTTTATTTTAGACAAAATATAAATCGGAAATAAAAACATAATGGTTTATCAATAGAAGTTCTCATACTGATCCATATGGATTATTTCTGGCATAATACAAGCCAATAAGTCACTTGCATCCTTAAGGAAGAGCACTGAGGAGAAAGATGTACTGTCTGCAATATTCATAAATTATCCAACTATAACCAGGAATAACCTAAAAAGGCTTCTAGGCATTCTTATGGGCAGAGAATTATTTGTGGTATATATAAAGAAAAGAGTTAAAAGCTTCTAAACTCTAAAATTCAACTCCATAACTGAGGGATTTATATACTCTATAGACTATATATTATAAACAAATACATGCTGACTTAAAAACCTTGAAATTTTTATCAAAATATACTATAACATAGGAGTTGTAAACTCAGATACTTACAAGGACAAAGGAAGGTTGCCTGAGTAAGGGAAGTACTAAGGTGGGCACAGTAGCAAACTGGAGAATACCTGCCTTCTATAAAGGGGCAACTTCTGCACAGCAGACCAAACAATGATAGAAACTCAGGGGACACCAGATTTGATTTTTTAGGATATGCCTGAAGTCCACATTTCTTCACGAGTCTTCTAAATTTTACATGTTGATTCAACTTATAGAGGCAAACAAACAAATCTGTGTACCACATTAGAATATAGCCCTTGTTTTTTTTATATTCGCTATTAATGTGTTACTAAATGGTTGTGTATAATCCAAGTATTTGCATGTAAAATATTTTCTTTCTCTGGTATCATATGTTCTACCAAAAATTCAGGCTCTCATATATAATAAAAATTGCTAAAAAGACTCACAATACCTGCTTCAAGAATTTTTCCAACATGTATTCATTTAAAATATGTTTGTATATAATTTTCCCAGATTGTTAACCAAATAGATAATTGGTTCACAAGACTGCTAAAACTAAATTATTAAAAGAATTCCTATCTATATTCTTATTAACTTCATGGATTTCAGTGTTTAAAACTGACATTTTGGGTATGCTAAAGTTCTATAAACTTAACAAACATACTGAGATAGTTCATAATAAAACTTCAACTAAAAAAAATAGTTTAGGATTTGCTACTATTCTAATTGAGAAAGCCAAACTTGTAATGAACATTTGTTGACACATAATCACCTGCGTGGTGACAAAGGGACATGAAATCATGAAAGGGTCAGCCTCTACCTATTGAAAGATTACTCATAAGCAAATTTCTGAAGACTCTCTGAATGGTAGTGAATGATTCATGGTGGGAAGCAAAACATGTTATTCTGCAAGCTGAGAGATATTGCCAATGATATTTCCTTTCACTTCCCAGTCACAGATGTAGAGAAAGACAGATAAGTCAGGCTAATATAATTGAAAAGGAGAATTTTGAAGGAAGTGGCAACTATCAAATGCCAACTCTTCTAGAGATTTCTTACATTTTTGAGATACAGAAATTTATATATTGCACTTATCTATTCTGGGGTTTTTAATCAAGAGTGTATCCCAACCTTGAAGGTTTTTTGTTTTTTTGGGGTTTTTTTTTTTTTTTTTGGCTATTATTGTTGTTAGAGACAAGAGTCTCACTATGTTGCTCAAGCTGGATTCAAACTCTTAGGCTCAAGCTGGGACTACAGGAATACACCACTGTGCCCAGCTTCAAGAAAACATTTTTAAACACGTTCAGGCCTTATTAGGTCTATTACATCAAAATCTTCAGGGGAAAGCCTACAATTGTAGATTTTTAACAAAATGTCCTCAGGTCACTGTAATGCACAATTCTGAGAATCAGTGCAGCAGACAATCACTTCAGTCTCACCTCTCACCCACATGGCTAATTCCTTTATCAGTTGGAGATGTGGCCAAAAAGAGAAAAGAGTAAGAGATAGTGTCATTTATTAAAACTCCAGTTAAGTTTCCTGGCTATGGGTAGAACAGGGACAAGTAAACTCAAAATCCCACTTGATTTTGCTATTTACAAGCTCCTTATCTCCCACCTTCCCACTAAGACATTCTAGATTTGAGAGGAGGCTTTAGGTTCTTATCTAAGTGGCTGTTTCTGCCAGGATGAGCAATAAGTCAGTTAATAATTTGTTCCACCTTCTGCTGAAGTGTTTCTCACTTCGTCACCACATATTCACTGCCAATCTGGTTTCCTCAGAGTCCTCCTAAAATTCATCTCTAGGCAAGTTGCAACTCATTCTTTTTCAAACCAAAAATTATTAGACCCAAAGCTAAACAGCACCTTGTCTCAACACATAAAACAAACTTAAAAACAAAAAAAAACCTCTTCCTGGCATTTTCCCTCATTATCTAATATCCAAGTGACCTGCATATTTCTGATTGCTCTCTTTCTCCCCTCCCATTTTTCCCTCTTAAGCCTTGCCACTGAAAGATGATACATCAGTTTTTCAGAAAATTAGCAGCAACAGCAACATGTCCCTTTATTGTAAGTTGCTTTAGTTTTGTTTGAGTTTTAAGATAAAGCCTATTTCCGGGGAATATTTTATTTCCTGTGTTGTTTTACACTAATTAAGAAAAAAAAAAAAAAAGAATAAGCCTGTGTAGAAAAAAAGTTGAAAAGGTTTTACCTTTAACAAATTCACAAATATTTTCCAAAGTGCATTTTATAAAGCTGTGCCCTTTAATGCTTCTTTAAAAATATCAATATTTAAAATAAAATCTTAGACAAGTTATTTCAAAATAACTTAATTTGTATTTGCATTCAGGGAATGGTTGATCTTCCAAATATAAAAAATTGACCCTTACCTATGTCAATGTTAAAACAAATATTTTGGAAAGAAAGTTGATTGACCTATACCTTGTCCAGTGCTTCAATATGTGCACCATGGGAAAGCAGTTTTTCTGCCAGTGAGGTGCTCTCACTATACACGGCATAATGGAGAGCAGTGTTGCCGTAGATATCCTTAAGGTTTGGATTGGCGCCATGTTCCAGCAGAATAACGGCACAAGCCTCTTCCTGGCAATGGACAGCCTGTCCGTGTTAGACCAAGAAACAGATTGTAAATTCCAAGAATTCAAAATACACATTCCACAGGTTTCACCAACTAGTTATATGTAAATGAGATCAATTTATTTTAATTCTATATATGTAAATCAAATCCATGTCATGCTAAAAGAGTTGGCTCTAATATACCTGTATCAAAGGCGTTCTGTTTTCTTTGTCACAGACATCAATCTGGCATTTTCTGTTAACCAGGAGAGTGACCACTTGCACATGGCCACTGGTACAGGCCAAGTGTAGAGCAGTTCTATGAGAGTAAGAGGATTTTTTAAGAAACTGTAGTACAATATCTCAAAACATACAATCATTCATGTAATGTAAAAACTGAATAGCATGTTTTTCCTCTGCCTTCAAAACAAATAAATTTTTTGAAGAAAGTACAATACTTACTAGCTCTTATTGCTCACTGCCTTAATGAAAACAGCAGCCTATTTGAGTAGAAAGAGCTCAGTCTTTGGATTCGGTTCAACTAGGGCTTGAGTCCTACTTTAAGCCTTGACACTTACCAACTATTGCTTAGCCTTTCTGTACCTCAACTTCCTCATTAATAAAGATGACAATAGTAGCTATCTCATAGGACACCATCGTGATGCTTAAATGAGAAGCTATGTAAAGTATGTAGAACAGTTCCTACGACAACTCAATAATTGTAAGATTTTTGTTTTTTGAGACAAAGTCTCACTCTTTTGCCCAGGCTGGAGTGCAATGGTGTAACTATACCTGGAACTCCTGGGTCAAATGATCCTCCATCCCCAGCCTCCTGAGTAGCTGGGACTACAGATGAGCACCAGCATGCCCAGCTATTTATTTAAAAATTTTTGTAGAGTAAGAATCTCACTTTGTTGCCCAGGCTGGTCTCAAACTCCTGGCATCAAGCAATCCTCTCACCTCAGCCTCCCAAAGTTCTGGGATTACAGGTGTGAGCCACTGCACCCAGCCAGATATTATAATTATTACTATTACTACTACTTAACAAAACCATTTTAATTAGGTAGAATGATACAATTATACCTACTTTGCAAGATGACTTAACGAGTAGGTCACATTTTAACACCTCTGACATTGGAATGCCACTTATAATTCATGATTTGTTATAACTATAATTGGTAGCATTTTAAAAATTATCTTATTGATATATAAAATATCGGGGCATCACGCAATCCATGAGACCTTACATTAAGTAGAATATGGTATACTCAGCAGGTCTAGGGCAGTTCTAGGCATGTAACTGAAACTTAAATACATTTTAGTTCTTAAAGGTACTATGGGGAAAGAGCACTGAAATAACAATAATGCATTTTTTAAACAAATTAATTCTTTGATTTTCAAACAACTTGAAACCAAAGGAAACTCATGATTCAAATGAATACATATGGCTCATTGTATTCAATATTTATACTTAGAAAATATATGCAAATAAGACTTTCCAATGATTAATATTAGTATTTAAGACTGATAAACTTTCGAAAGAGCAGTTAAAGGTTATCTTCTACTATTTTCTAACTTCAGAAATGCTTTTGTTTGAAAGGTGGGAGATAAAGTTTCAAGGAGATTAAGTCCCAATATTCCTATTTTAAATCTCTCAGCTTGTGCAGGTGGGGCAGGTAAACATGAAGTGTTTAAGGATGGACGGGTCCTGAGAGATGACAGAATATGTCTGCTACATAGCAGGTACTCAGGTTATGCTTGATCCATAAATGGAATGAAAGAATGGATAAATACAGTTGGGGAGTTCATTATTTTTAAATAAACTCCTATAAAGCAATATTTTTGCAATAGTAATTATTTATATGTGTTGTTTTATTTTTAAAGAACACAATTAAAATGAAATGATTATGTTTGCATAAATGGAATGAGTATATAAGCAAAACATATGTACATAATAAAATATATAGATAATAAAATCTGAAACAGATAAAAACATTCCCTTTTTACTTCTGAAGAGGCTAAAAGCTCAAAGAAGATAACAACACACACAATAATGATAAAGAATAGAAAGTGAGAAATTATTTTCATCAGCGCAAGATTCATATTCCTCTCTTCCCAAGGATTAGTCCATTAATAATAAACTTTTACTAGAAGTTTTGTACTCACTGCAGCAATCACAGATAAGAAAAAGGAAAAAAACTTTACTTAAAATACAAATGCTCAGAAATTACAAATTTTATATTTTGTACATATTTTTGCTAAAACAAGACCATAGTATGTTTGTGTATGTATAATTTAACTAATTTTTTTCTCCTTGCTAGCTATAACAAAATACATCTTTGCACATCAACGTACTTCTGTATCTACTGCCACCTTCAGTGGTCACATATTATTCCATCCTATGGATGCAACTGAAATTTATTTATAGGATCCATTCTATGGGTTCTCTTTAAAGTAAGTACTGTGAAAAATAAAGTGCATGTATCTTTATTTCCTAAGGGTATTTTAGTATAATGGAATTGGTGGGTAAAGGGCATACACATTTTTTAAATGTAGTACTTACCATTTTCAAATGAGTACTTTGAAAAGTAATCAGCAACTTTAAGCAGCAGTATAAAACATCCTCACAAATATTGTGGATAGAAAACTGTTTCATTCCTCTTTTAGTTTAAATTCTTATACCAGAAATGCGAAGGATTTTTTCCTATGTATATAAGTAACTTGTAGATCTGGAAAAAGGTACTTTGCCCACTTTTAGAGTGTTTGATGATTTGATTTGAAAGAATTCCCTGTAAAATGAAGAGGTACTTTTCATCTAATGTGTATATATAACTGATATATATAACATATGTGTTATATATGTATACATATCAGTAATATATATATATCTTATGATATATAATAAACAACATAGGCCAGGCGCGGTGGCTCACACCTGTAATCCCAGCGCTTTGGGAGGTGGAGGCGGGCAGATGACTTGAGGTCAGGAGTTCGAGACCAGCCTGGCCAACGTGGTGAAACTAAATATACAAAAATTAGCCAGGCATGCTGGCACCTGCCTGCAATCCCAGCTACTTGGGAGGCTGAAGTAGGAAAATTGCTTGAACCCGGCAGGCAGAGGTTGCAGTGAGCCAAGATTGTGCCATTGGACACCAGCCTGGGCAAAGAAGCGAGACTCTGACTCAAAAAAAAAAAAAAAAGAATATAATGAATTCCCTATAAAATGAAAACATACTTTTCATCTGAAAAAAAAATATATATATATAATATAGTAAATATTTTTCAAGTAAGCTCTCTTATCTGAGAACTTTTCGCCCACTGAAACAACTCACGGTTATTTTTGATAGGGGAACGAGTTCTCTCATTAGGCACCTCCTATAATGTATATAAACCATGTTTTAAACGTGTACGTTAAAAATAACAACGCTGTATATGCTTAACTTTGTGAGTTAAATCACTCAAATTCTCCAACTGCTCCAGCCAGGGAATTATGAGGGATGGAAAACAGCTGAGAGTCCGTTTGGCTCCGCCGCTCCGAGGGTGCCCGGCGCCCTGCAAGGCCCCGTCCCAGGGTCTGCGGGGAAGCCGGGCCTGGGGGCCCCCTCCCACCCCGGGCTGAGCCCCCGCTACCTGTGCTGCTTGTCCAGGGCGTCCAGGTCTCCGCTCCTGCGCGCCAGGCAGCGCTCCACCTCCGCGGCGTCGCCTTTGACAGCTGCCCTGTGGATCTTCTGCAGTTCGGAGTCCCGGATTCGGTATCCGGAACCCGTGTAGACGTGGTCTATGGAGCCCTGGGCCGTCTGGCCCCTGCGGCTCCCGAAGCCGAATAACTTCATATTGGTGACTTCTTCTCAGACCCCCAACCACCGGCTCTTGAGCGGGGGCAGCTCCCTGTCACCTTTTCACCACCCCCCTCCCCGACCCCGGCCGACCCAGCCCCAAATCCCCTATCCAACCCCAAAGCCCCGATCCAACCCCAACTCCGCTATTTCAAATCTATGGTCTACTCCACAATCCGCGATCCAGCCCGGTCCACCACAGCCTTCAGCAGCGACACTCGCAGCCTCCGACCTCTCAGACCGAGTGAGCCTCGCAAAGCCGTTGGGCGCGCGCCTGCACGGCAGTTGCTGCCGAGCTCCCAGAAGACGGTCCCTGGCGGAGCGCGCCTGCACCGCGGTTGCTGCCGGGCTCCCGGAAGACGCTCCCTGGCGGCGCGCGCCAGCAGGTGGGGCTGCAGCTCTGGGCGTGCGCCGATGGGCTCGCCGGTTCTCCTGGGATCGCCCGGGCGGCCCCAGGATCGCAGGCGCGCAGCCAGCCCGGCCTGAGAAAGAGGGCCTGTCTGGCCTTGCAGCCCGCCCCGCTCCTCCTCAGAAGGGAGATAGGGTGCTGGCAAGGGCACTCCGCGGCCACCTGAGTGGCTTCGCGGATTGGCTGAACGCTGAGGCTCTGGCCCTGAAGTCTGTGTGGCTAGTGTCAGGTAGCTGGAGAGGGATGGAGGCAGAGTCAGGGGCTGCTCCTTCCCCCACCCGCCCTCACTGCTGCCAGTGCCACACGCGCGGTTTGCAGCTGCAGATCTGGCACTGGCGCAGGATGGCGGAGCTTCCTTTGGATGGCCTCAGGGCCGCAGAGCGCACAGCCCACCTGGCCTCAAGGTCCGCTCCTCTTGGACATCTTTCTGGATCCTGGGCCCTGGCGCTGGGCACTCTGTGTCCACACGGATGAAACAGCGGCTGCTGGCGGGGCCGGTTGCCTGATTTTGCCGCCTGGGGGTCTGGCCTCAGGATCCACGCTACTGCGGGGCGGGCCTGGTCTGGAGTGTCCAGTCACTTGCTGCCGGTGCACCACGTCTAGACTGCAGCTGCGGCTCCGATGCCGGCGTGAGCTGGCGGGCCTGGTACCTGATGTCCTCAGGGTCAAGTGCATCGCCCTCCCACTTGAGAGGTTGCTCTGACTTGGCCTCCTCCAAGAACGCAGGGGCCGCCGGGACTGGCTCTTCGTGGTAACCGGGATGGTACCGAGCAGCAGGTTTTCACCCTGGTGCCACTGCTGTGCGGACTGCCTGACTTGGGCACCCAGGCACCCGCCCCAGGGTCCGCGCGGCAGGTGTGCAGGTAGGGTGAGTGGCGCGGAGGGTCGGGGGTTGCTCCGTCATCTCTGCCCGTGTGCAACTTGCAGTTTTGCAGTTTTCTGCAGCAGCCGAGGCGCTGGCGCGGGAAGGCGGAGCTCCCCTGGATGGCGTCAGGTTTGCGGGCACAGAGCACAGCCCACCAGGCCTGAAGGTCCGCTCAGGGGCCATAGTGGTTGAGTTCTCTGTGGAACTGGGATGGGGTGAACGGCCAGTTCCCGTCCTTTGGCCACCTGGCCAACTGCCAGACTTAACCGCTGCCGCCCAGGAATCTGTCTCTAGCGTAGCCACTACTTGGGTAGAAGTGGGGGTCGGGGTGGGGCGTGGAGCGTCACCGGTTGCCAGGCCAGCACTGTCTTTGCAACATATTCAGATGGCGGCGGGCAGCTCGGGCGCCAGCATGGGCTGGCGGGGCTCCCCTGGACGGCCCTCAGGTCGCTCACAGCATTGTCCCAGGACTTCCTCGGCCTGTGCCAGGTGGGCAAGGTACGGGGGTAGCTTCAAAGGCTTCTATCCCAACTCTACCTATTTCTACCTATTTTCTCTTGAGTTATTTTGCCTTTATCTCAGTTTTATTTGCAAAAATAGTATACGCAAAATACATCGAGTGAATGCACATCAGGCATATAGAAGATCTGGCAGAAACATGTTTTCTCCTGCCCATTTCCAGTCAGTATTTGAACACAGAGGCTTCCACGGTTTTGATTCTTTCCACAAAAGGTTAGTTTTGTCTGTTTTCACCATTTATGTAAGTGAAACTATAAATTATATAATTTTTATGTTCACTCACTAAACATGCTTGTGACACATCATTTTGCTCCTATTGATTATTCATTATTTTGTAATATTCAATTTTATGACTATACCACAGGTTTGAGGCCTTTGCTTGTTTTGTTTTTAATCCATTCCACTATTGATAGACACAAAAGCAGTTTCTGATTTGAGGCTATCATGAATAAACCTGCTACGAACAAATCAGATATACATATTTTTTTCTGTAATAATATTTTCACTTTTCTTGAGTTTAAGTACATAAGAGTGGATTTTCTGGGTTATAAAATAAGTATATATTTGGCATTGTATGAAATGGGGAGACATTTTCCTAAGTGGTTATGCCATCTTAAACTACAATGAAAATGAGAGAATCAGTTCCACTTTCTAACCAATACTTGACGCTGTCAGTTGTTTTAGTATTATCCATTCTTATGGGATATAACTGCTGAGTAGCTGTCTGCCTTCTCCCATAACACAGAAAATTGAGGGCCCAGAGGACAGTTTTATTTTCATATTTGACATCTTCTATTATTTTTTATAGAAGGATGATTTCAGTAGTAAAATTTTCTTTCAATTTTCTAGGTTGTCTCTGAATCTTACTGGGGTTCCTTGTCCTAAACCACATTCAGAAATTTTCACGACCGACTTCTTATCTTTGTCATACCAGGCCAATGAGGGACAGCATTCCTGAGACTTTTTAAGTACTTTGTGTGTGTGTGATGGTCTAATAATCATAGCCTTAAAACTTTCTGGCTGGGCATGGTGGCTCACACCTGTAATCCCAGCACTTCAAGAGGCCGAGGCGGGTGGATCACCTGAGGTCGGGAGTTCGAGACCAGCCTGACCAACGTGGAGAAACCCCAACTCTACTAAAAATAAAAAATTAGCTGAGCATGGTGGCACATGCCTGTAATCCCAGCTACTTGGGAGGCAGGAGCTACTTGGGCTGATGCAGGAGAATTGCTTGAACCCATGAAGTGGAGGTTGCAGTTAGCCAAGATCACACCATTGCACTCCAGCCTGGGCAACAAGAGTGAAATTCTGTCTCAAAAAAAAAAAAAAAAAAAAAGAATCTCACACTTCTGGGAGACACTGAATTTGTGAATGTGTACAGCATATCACAATAACTTTTCTTTGAGACCAAGTCTCACTCTGCTGCCCAAGCTGGAGTGCAGTGGCCCATCTCAGCTCACTGCAACCTCTGCCTCCCGGATTCAAGCAATTCTCCTGTCTTGGCCTCCCGAGTAGCTGGGATTACAGGTGCTGCAACCATGCCTGGCTAATTTTTGTATTTTTAGTAGAGACAGGGTTTCACATATTGGCCAGGCTGGTCTCGAACTCCTCACCTCAGATGATCTACCCGCCTCGGCCTCTCGAAGTGCTGGAATTACAGGTGTGAGCCACCATGCCCAGCCAGAAAGTTTTAAGGCTATGATTATTAGACCATCACACAAAGTACTTAAAAAGTCTCAGGAATGCTGTCCCTCATTGGGACCACAACACCCAGATGATTTTTTTTTTTTTGTAGAAAGAGGAGCCTTGCTATGTTGCCCAAGCTGGCCTCAAACTCCCACCCTCAAGAGATCTGCCCATCTCGACAACCAGAGTAACTGGTTCTACAGGAAAATACCACTATCCCATGATAATTATATTTTATTAATTTTTATTTGCATAGACAGGAGGTCTTGCTATGTTGCCCAGGGTGGTCTCAGACTCCTGGACTCGAACAATTCTCCCATCTGTGCCATCTGTGCCTCCCAAAGTGCTCCCAAAGTGCTGACGCCACAGGCATAAGCCACTGCACCTGGCCCGACTTAAGATGTCTTTAATCTAGCATCCCATACTTCATATAATCAGGAAAAGCAGTAATGTTTTTTTTTTTTTTTTAATTACTTAGTATCTCAACAAGAATCAACCATCTCTCACCATTGCCAGGACCCTGGTCAGAACCACTATCATCTCCTACCTGGATGTTGCCACAGCTTGGCCTCCGTGCTTCTACCCAAATCTTCCCACAATCTTTCTCAACTCAGCCACCATGGGATGCTTTTAAATCAATAGACAGTTCGTGTCACCTCTCTGCTCAGAACCCTTCCGCATCTCCCATCTCAGCATAAAAGCCAAAGCCCCAGCAATAGCCTCCCAGGGCTTGCACAATCTGTACTGATCTGAGTCCCACAACTCCCTGGCCTCCTCCCCTACCTTCTCTCCCTCTCTCTGCTCGACAAGCCTCTTTCCTGAGCTTCAGACACACCACGGAGTTCCCTCTTAGCACCTTTATTCTGTTGTTTCTGCCTACAATGCTCTTCCCTCAGTACCTTGGCCAGCTCCTTCCCCTCCTTCAAGTCTTTGCTCAATTTTCACTTAGGAGGCCAACCCTGACCACTCTATTTAATATTGCTATGTGTCCCCATTCCTGCCATGCTCACTCATTTCTTTTTACTTTTTTTTTAAGATATAGTCTCGCTGTGTCACTCAGGCTGGGGCACCATGGCACGATCACAACACACTGAGACCTGGAACTCCTAGGTCAAGAAATCGTCCTGCCTCAGCGCCTCTAGTAGCTAAGACTACAAGTGCATGCCACTACACCCGCTAATTTTTTTTCCCCATGTAGACAGGGTATCACTTTGTTGCCCAGGCTTATCTTGAACTCCTGGGCCAGAGCAACCATCCTGCCTCAGCCTCCTAAATAGCTGGAATTATAGGTGTGGGCCACTACCCCTGGCTTCATGTTCATTTCTTCTTGCTGCTGTTACAAACTACCCTATGTTGAGTGGCTTAATACACCACAAATCTACTACCTAACAGGTCTGGGGGCCAGAAGTCCAAAATAGGTCTATTAAGGCTAAAGTCAAGGTGTCAGCAGGACTGCATCCCTTCTGGAGTTTCCAGAGAGAAGGTGTTCCCTTGCCTTTCCCAGTTCCGAAAGCCACCCCTATTCTTTGCCTCATGGCCCCTAACTGCATCTTCAAAGCCAGAAGCAAAGCATATTCAAATCTCCCTCTGTGACCTGTGCTTCCATCATCAAATCTCCTTCAATTCTGACTCTCTTACCTCCCTCTTTCACTTATAAAGACCTCTTGTGATTGCTGGACACAGAGGCCGGGGCTCACAACCATAATCCCAACGGTTTAGGAGGTCAAAGCAGGAGAAATGCTTGAGGCCAGAAGTTCGGGACCAGCCTGAGAAACACAGTGAGATCCCCCCCCACAATTAAACAACAAAAAGAAATAAGAGAAAATTAGCTGGGCGTGGTGGTATGCATCTGTAGTTTCAGCTACTTGAGAGGCTGTGGTGAAAGGATTGCTTTAGCCCCAGAGTTCAAGACCAGCCTCGGCAATATAACAAGATCCCATCTCTACAAAAAAATACAAAAATCAGCTGGGCATGGATGGTGTGCACCTGTAGTCCCAGATGCTTGGAAGGCTGAGGCGGGAGAATTGCTTGAGCCCAGGTGGTTGAGGCTGCAGTTAGCTACGACTGCATCATTGCACTCCAGATTGGGTGAAACAGAGACTCTGTGTTCAAAAGAAAAAGAAAAGAAATACACATTTGGTTTCTGCCCCTCGTCCTGGCACAGAGCTTCTCAAGTTCTTATAAAGGCCTTGGTGATAAAGGTGATAGGACCATCTTTTGTTTGAATATTTGGTCTTAGTCCCAGGTTTCTAACAGAAGAGCCTCTAAGACCTTTGGGATCACCATAGTAAGAATGCATTTGGTGATGTTACTGAGATGACTGGGTGACTGAAAGCTCCTAGACAGCTTAAGAAAAAGGGCTGGTTGCCAGAAGAACAAACCATGTGATTAGAGGCTTGGAACTGTCAGCCTCACCCACTGGGCTCCAGGAAGAAATAGTGGCCGAAGACTGACTTAATCACCAATAGTCAATGATTTCATCTATCATGCCTGCCTAAAGAAGCCTTCATAAATGACCTCAACAACCAGATTTGGAGAATGCCGGGGTTGCTGAACACAAGGGAGATAGCAGGAAGGTAACACGCGCAATAGAGAGCATGGAAGTTCTGCACCCCTCCCGACCTCCCGACACACCTTGCCCTGTGGTTTTTTTTTTTTTTTTTGAAACAGGGTCTGGCTCTGTCCCCCAGCCTAGAGTGCCGTGGCACAATCGTGGCTCACTGCGACCTATGCCTCCCTAGCTCAAGCCCCATCTCTCATCCTCTCACCTCAGCCTCCTGAGTAACTAGAATTATAGGCACTGAGTAGCTAGAACTATAGATCACTGCACCTGGCTAATTTTTAGAAAAACCTTTTTGTAGAGATGTGTTTTCGCCGTGTTACCCAGGCTGGTCTTAATCTCCTGAGCACTTAAGCGATGCTCCCGCCTCAGTCTCCCAAAGAGCTGAAATTACAGGCATGAGCCACTG
This sequence comes from Homo sapiens, assembly GCF_000001405.40. NCBI lineage: Eukaryota > Metazoa > Chordata > Mammalia > Primates > Hominidae > Homo > Homo sapiens. The sequence goes on along the minus strand of NC_000009.12, from coordinate 67,852,975 downwards.
TGCCCAGCATGTACATCTCTTTCACCGGCTGTTTCTGAGATATAGCCTTTAAAATGAACCAGTAAAAGAAAGTAAATTGGTGAGATGCAGTGGCTCACACCCATAATCCCAGCATTTTGTGAAGTTGAAGTGGGAGGATCATGTGAGCCCAGAAATTTGAGACCAGCCTGGGCAACATAACAAGACCCCTTCTCTACAAAAAATAAAAAAACTTAGCCAGATATGCTGGTGCGGGCCTGTAGTCTCAGCTATTTGGGAGGCTGAGGTGGGAGGATCACTTGAGCCCAGGAGTCCCATGCTACAGTGAGCTTTGATCACACCACTGCATTCCAGTCTGGCAACAGACTGAGACCCTGTATCTCAGAAAAAAAAAAAAAAAAAAACCTGTTTTTCTGAGTTCTGCAAGCTGTCCGAGCAAATGATTCCACCCAGCAACGGGGTCATGAAACCCTGTTTTCTAACTGGTCGGTCAAAACTACATGTGACAACCCAAGACTTGCAATTGGCATGTGGAGTGAGGGTAGACTCCTGGGACTGAGCCCCCATCCTGCGGGGTCTGCACTAACTCCAGGGAGTGTCAGGATGGAATTGTGGGATACCCAGTTGGGATCCAGATTGTCTGAAAATCAGTGTAGAAACTCCACATGCACATTTGGTTAGAGGTGTTTAACCATAACTACTATTCACGAAAAAGGTCTACTCATTACAACTGAAAATCATAAAATTGTAAGTTCTACAAAAATAAATCAACCTTATCTACTGCCCAGTCCTACCAAACTACAGAATGTGAGAACAGAAGGTCTGACCGTGGACTCGAGAACTGACATTAGGAATGTCACCACCATCCTGCTCTCCAAGGACTCCTCATCTTCAACAAACTCCTCATCTTCAATGGGCAGGGTGGAAACTGCAACTTGTGCCATGATCCTTGCACAAGAAAAGTAGTAAGAAAGTGAGTGGTAGAAATCCAGTGTCCTAAACTCACATCCAGAGCTGTGAGAGTTTTTCACCGGCTGGATAATTCACAGTTTTCTTGAATCAGGGGAAAAATAAGACTCAGAAACTAGGAATTCGTTTTGCCCAAAACTCTCATCAGATAGAGAATCCATCCACTAACTTTCTATCTAGTATTATTTCCATAAGTTAGATCAGTATCACTCCCAAAACAAATGCACATGGCACCCAGAATCTGCGCATTTCTCCCAAGTAAAAGAGGAGGTGGATGGGCGCAGTGTCTCATGCCTGTAACCCCAGCACTTTCGGAGGCCAAGGTGGGTGGATCACTTGAGGTCAGGAGTTCAACACCAGCCTGGCCAACATGGTGATACCGTCTCTACTAAAAATAAAAAAAATTAGCCAGGTGTGGTGGCACGTGCCTATAGTCCCAGCTTCTTGGGAGGCTGAGGCAGGAGAATCGCTTGAACCCAGGAGGCTGAGGTTGCAGTGAGCAGAGATCTCAGCACTGCACCTGAGCCTGGGTGACAGAGTGAGACTCTGTCTCAAAAAAAAAGGTGGGGGGAGGAGGCAAGGCACTTTACAACCCAGTGATGGGCTACCACAACTCAACACAGCAAAGAGGTGCCAAGCTCCCTTTCTCCCCTGCACAACCCGACACAGAAGAGTTGGTGCAGTGGAATGAGGTTGAATGGAGAGAAGTTCCTCTTCTTTCCATTTTTTTTTTTTTTTGAGATGGAGTCTCACTCTATCACACAGGCTGGGTGCAGTGGCGCAATCTCGGTCACTGCAACCTCCGCCTCCCAGGTTCAACCAATTCTCTGCCTCAGCCTTCCAAGTAGCTGGGATTAGAGGTGCCCGCCACCACACCCAGCTAATTTTTGTTTGTTTGTTTAGTAGAGACTGGGTTTCACTATGTTGGCCAGGCTGGTCTTGAACTCCTGACATTGTGATCCACCTGCCTCGGCCTCCCAAAGTGCTGGGATTACAGGCATGAGCTGCTGCGCCCAGCCGAGTAGTTCCTCTTCTTACTGAGAAAATGGATCACAGGGCATCAAGTAACACATAAAATTCTTTATAATAAGCAGTATTATTTTTGGAAAACCTTTCCTAATATTTTGGTATCAGCAAAAACCCTCAGATTAATTTCAAACACTATAAAAATACAGTACATAAACAGAAAATATTAACTGTCAGCAATGCTATAGAGAAATTGGAAGCTGTATGCATTGCCTTTTGGAATGTAAAATGGTACAGCCCACTGTGGAAAATGGTTTAGCAGCTCCTTAAAAATATTAAGCACAGAATTATATGATCCACCAACACCCTTTAAGTGTATATACCCAAAATAACTGAGAGCAGGGACTCAAACAGGTATTTGTACACCCGTTTAACAGCAGCATTATTCACAGTGGCCAAAAGGTAGAACCAACCCTAATGCCCATCAGTAGGTAAATGGATAAAGAAAATGTAATATATACATACACAGAGTATTATTCAGCCATAAAAAGAAAAATATCTGGCCAGATTCAGGGGCTTACACCTGTAATCCCAGTATTTTGGGAGGCCAAGGTGGGCAGGTCTCTTGAGCCCCGAATTTTGAGACCAGGCTGGACAACATGGCACATTTGGTCAGAAGTGTTTGACCGTAACTACTATTCAAGAAAAAGATCTACTCATTAGAACTATAAATCATAAAATTATAAATTCTACAAAAACAAATCAACCTTATCTACCACCCAGTACTACCCAATTACAGAATGTTAGAACAGAAGGTCTCACCATGGACTCAAGAGCTGATATGAGCAATGTCACCACCATCCTGTTCTCTGCGGACTCATCTTCAACAGACTCATCTTCAACGGACTCCTCATCTTCCATGGACTCCTCATCTTCAATGGGCAGGGTGGAAACTGCAGCTTGTGCCATGATCCCTGTGCAAGAAAAGTAGTAAGAAATTGAATGGTAGAAATCCAGTATCCTAAACTCACATCCAGAGCTGTGAGAGTTTTTCACTGGCTGGCAAATTGTTTTTTTGCATCAGAGAAAAAAACAAAACTTGGTAACTTGGTATTCGATTTGCCCAAAACTCTCATCAGATAGAGAATTCATCCGCTAACTTTCTATCTAGTACTATTTCCATGAAGTTAGATGAATATCACTCCCAAAATAAATCCACGTGGCAACCAGAATCAGTGCATTTCTCCCAAGAGGAGGTGGCCAAGCGCCCACATCTGTAATCCCAGCATGTTGGGAGGCCGAGGTGGGTAGATCAGGAGGTCAAAAGATTGAGACCATCCTGGCCAACATGGTGAAACCCTGGTCTCTACCAAAAATACAAAAAATAGCTGGATGTGGTGGTCTGTGCCTATAATCCCAGCTACTTAGGAGGCTAAGGCAGGAGAATCACTTGAACCAGGGAGTCAGAGGTTGCAGTGAGCCGAGATCGTGCCACTGCACTCTAGCCTGGTGACAGAGCAAGACTTCGTCTAAAAAAAAAAAAAGAAAATAACAGTAAAATACAAAATGTCTTTTTCTCCTAACCTTCTTAGCCTTCTGCTGGTACTTCAATTTCTGCTGGTACTGTTTGGTCATTGCCCTCTAAAGAATGATGGCTTCCTAAAAAGAAAACAAACAACATATAAACCAATAAAAACTCACATTGAAAGATAAAAAATAATCTAGGTGACGATGCAAGCACTTTTAAGACATAATAGGCCAGGTGCAGTGGCTCACACCTGTAAACCCCGCAGTTTGGGAGGCTGAGGAGGGCAGATTACCTGAGTTCAGGAGTTCGAGACCAGCCTGGGCCAACATGGTGAAACCTCATATCTACTAAAATACAAGAAATCAGCCAGGCGTGGTGGCAGGGGCCTGTAATCCCACCTACTCGGGAGGCTGAGGCAGGAGAATCACTTGAACCCAGGAGACGGAGGTTGCAGTGAGCTGAGATCGCGCTGCTGCACTCCAGCCTGGGTGACGAGAGTGAAACTCCATCTCATGAAAAAAGAAAAAAAGACATAATAAACATAAAATATGATTCTATTAACTCTATTAATCCAAATAACGTTTTCTAATTCAGAAGAAATATATAACATGTCTATTTGGTAGCTTAAAAACATTCTTTTAAAATACAAATACAGTAGACCCAAGTAGGCTTGGGGACTTAATATTAGTTACTCTAGCTACATGATAAAATTACTGGATATTGGAATCTGAAGCAGCACAATTATGCTTCAAGTACCATGCTCATCTGTCACTGACACACACACACAAGTGTGAATGCCTGCTTTGCTCAATTAACTCTGTAAGTAAGTTCAGGATTTGCTGTGGAATGTTCCCTGCTTTCCATTTTCACTATGGTGAAAGTTATGGAAACTCGATCCCCATAATTTAAGCAAAGTTGTACTTAAAGTAACTCATATGTAAAAATTTAAGATACTACCTTTAGTGTCAAAAACATTTTAATCCAAGTAACGTAATCTGCCTGCTTCTAAAAACTGGCATATAAAGCAACAGATCTGTTAGGCAGTCACAAGGTAAACAGGCTCATCCTACTGGAGCAGAAGTTTTACTCACAAATATGAAAGAAATAATCTAAAATATCAGAGTGCCACTTAGGATTAAGACCACAAACTGCCCCCAGTACACATCCTCTGTCCTTAAAGATCTGAGCTACTAACATGGAAAAGATTGAAAAACACTGTCTTCAAGTATAAATAAAAATATATTACATTTCGGTAAGAATACATTGTTTAGGGGGAAGGGAAGCAGATGCTCATCTATTTTGTCCTATCTGTTGATAACTAAATTCAGAAGCTGTACTAAAAGTCAAACAAAAGTTATAAATACATCTCAATTTTTAAAGAGCAATGATTACAGTCAGAAAAACTCATTTGGTGGCTAGTATTCTTGAATTAAAAGTGCCATACCAAAGTGAAATCTTTTTGGTTTTCAACATCTAGCTTTTTCATGTCACAATTATTTTGGGATTCTTTTCCACTTACTGCATATTGTGAAAACTCACCTGAACTCAAAACTCTAGGTAAATCTATAAACCTGTATCTCAGAATCCACCTTTAATTCATTTGTAAAATACACTTTCTCTGCACACATTTCCTCTCTCTTCTTTTAACCGTAATATTTGGATTTAGGGAGCATCAAGTTCCTTGACTGTAAAGTCAACGAAAAAAGAGATATGAAGTCAAAAGAATGGGAGATAATGAACAAGAGGCCAGTAGTTAAAAAGTAAAATTTCAATAAAGAATAACAGTTAAGATGGTCGTTCATGTTATTACCCAAACACTAGGGGTTTCGTCCAGGTCCTCCTGCTCATCGGAGAAAAAGCCAGTCACTGAGGTGACAAGTACTGCCAAGGAAGAAAGCTTTAACCTGGTGCTGCGGCCCAGGAGCTGGGAGCTCAGTCTCAAATCCATGGGCTTGACTAATAGGGGCAGGAAAAAAATTTAACAATGTATAAGAGAACAGAAATTAGGGAGGGGCAGGAGGCATGTGGTGCTGTGATCTGGTATGTTTCAGTTATCTGATACTTCCTGAAGGTCTTTTTTTGAGGAGAGAACTCAGATACAACAGATCCAAGTTTCAAGCTTTAACAGCAGGGTCAATTTTGACGTTCATCCAAAAAAAACCCATCCATTGGGACAACAGGGCCGGTGTCAATGTAAGCAATGATTCTGTAGTTCCTCTTTGTTCTTTCAAAATCTGAAATAAACAATTGAATTTATATTATATGCTAAATCTAAAGAAAATACATCTTGTTGTACTTGAGGCCAGAAGAGATAGAAGTAAGGCAGTCAAGTTTGGGAACATTATACAAAATTCAAAAAAAGTAATAAATGCATAAAACTTACAGAGTAACAAGTGCTATTTCAGAATTCTTCTAAATACTAAGTATTGACATGACCTTATCAATATTTGCATTACTAACCATACAATAAGAACCTGACTTCTGACTGTTCTGAGATAAGGGATAAATGTGTACTTTACCTTAAATGGGAAAGTGCATCATGTACCCACTTCGAGATTCACAACAGGGAAAACTGATTTGAAAAATTGTTGCTTGTGAAGTTCATTTATATGTTAAAAAAAGGCCAATACATTTTCCCTTTTCCACATAGAAAAGGAACACTATACTTATAAATACTAAAACACAGTCTGTGGAATACAAAGAACCAATAGAAACAGTATGTAGGAAAATGGAAGTGAAAAGATTATACATTGCAAAGACTTCAGTAGAAGGAGTTTTTCATCAACATCATCAGTTTCAGAAGGGCCTGCTTTGGGATACAAAGACAATACTTCAACAGTAACTCCCCCAAGCCAGACGCAGTGACTTATGCCTGTAATCCCAGTAATTTGGGAGGCCAAGGCAGGCAGTGAGGTCTGGAGTTCAAGACAAACCTGGCCCAACAGGGTGATACACCGTCTCTACCAAAAAATACAAAAATTAACCAGGTGTAGTGGCATGCACCTATACAGTCCCAGCTATATGGGAGGCTGAGGCAAATGTACTCATTTTTTCATTCCTGCACCCAAGAAACTGCAACCAATCTACTCTGTTAAGAGCAGAGATAAAGGGTTTAGACTCCATATTACATGTGAAATAGAAGAAATGAATCAGTTTAGTATGAACTTGTATGCACTTTTGGAGAGGAAAATAGGTCAAGAAGCCATTAAGATACATGAAGGAAGGTCAAATCTTAAAGAAAACTAGAAATTCAGATTTATTTACATAGCTCTAGAAGGAAGAACCAGGAATAGTGGAGAATGAATGTAGAAAACATTTTTAGTGAATGAAAGCATGAGATGATAACACAAGCAGCCACCAATGGAACAAACTGATGTGCAACAGCGGATTTGCCGTCACTGAAGCTATCCAGTTTCCAACTGTTGCAGGTATTACAGAGCTATTGAGAGTTTTAGTAGGCGGCTGGGGTTCCTTTCAGATCTGACATGGCATGATGCCAAAATGCTGTACATGTTCTCATCTTTTTCTGGCTCATTTTTTTTCTCTCTTCAGGTTTCTTAACCTTTTATCTACTTCCCTCTATTAATAATCACCTAAACCATACACTCAGTCTTCTGAAGTAAATTTCTTTATCTTTCCCTTCACAAATAAACATCTTTGATGGATGAAAACACCGCAGGAAAGCCACCTAAGCAGATATGACTTCTCAACTTTTTTTTTAAGTGATTTCCATTCATCACTAATTCCAAACAAAACAATTACAAACTATCATAAAATTATTAGAAAGTGAAAATGGGAAGCATTGGTTAAATATGTGTTTAGTATGCTTCACCATGTCCTCAAACATATTTAAAAAGTTAATCCACACTTAAGTGCATTGGGGGACTTGCTTTAGATTAAGAAATATGTTAACTATTTCAGGACACTAAGGACCTTACAAATCTGAATTAGCTCAGATTGGCTGCTATCTCCTCAATTATTTTCTGATAAATAAGAAACAAACAGTAAATAGCAACTTGCAGAAAATCTACCAGTAGTACACAAGGGCAGCCAAACTTCAAAATTCTTGCCACTCAAACTCTAGACGGTTACTATTTACTAAAATGTAAATAATAAAAAGACTTTTCTCAATCTTGTCCTCCAGAAAGAAAAGCCATAAAGTTCAAACACTAACCAAAAAAAGGGTAAGGAGAAACGTTTATATATTGGCGTTCCTTTTATTAGTGTCTTCACATACAACACTCCTCAATTTTAAACACCACTTTCTTTCAGAAGACAAAACCAAGACAAAATGGTAGAAATCAAAGGGTTACAGACTTTGATTTAAAAGGCATAACCTTTTCAAAAATGAGAGCTATCGATGGATCACTTCTGAGAAGAAATTCCCTGGCACTAGGATAGAGGTTGGAAAACCATCTTTCCAGGTGCTCTAAAATAGAATCCTCTCATAGTGCAAGAGTCCTTCTAATTCTAGGGGTCTAGGATTATTTTTATTATTATTGTTACCTTTCCCGTTCTGGAAAATCCTCAAGACTCTGTCTTGTAAATGTCACCAACCCAGTAGGTTCTACAGAAGCAATAAAAGAAAAACATACCCAAAATAAGTTTCAATTTTGAAAACATTATACACACACACGTGCATGCGCGCGCACACACACTCGATAAAAGAATAGGTCTAACATTGACTATAAAACTAACCAGGAAATACAAAGCCTAGCATTGGAAAATAACAGAATATTGATTGAAAATATTATCCTTACAGTAGAAACTCCTATAAAACAGTAAGACTTCACTAAACGAAACTATACAAATAACAGCACAACAGTAGGATTTGAGTGCTGGTACTTTTTGGTAAAGTTTTGAAGCTGAATACACTTTTAAAAACAAAACCATTGGAAAAAAGGATGTATAACTGGTACAGCTTATGCAGTAAAGACAAAACTGAATTCAAATTTGTAGACTCCTTTACAAAGAAAGGACTTAACCCTACATTCAAAGACTGGTGAATAAAGACACATTTATGTACTTTGTAGTAAAGTGAAATGCCACAGCTTTAAAAAGAAAATCATTTGCACATCCTCTGAAGTTAGTAAAGCTAAGTTTCAGGCTTAGATAGTGGGCAATCACTCTACTTGTTAGTAGCAGTCTTAGCCAGAGAAGAAATTACTGGTTCTAAGAGTTTACAGAATAAAGATGACATATTTTTCAAGAAGCAATACATTTGGGAGGATCAAAATGGAGTAGTATTAATGTAGTCAATAATTTTAAGAGGATGAGATCCTTTTCTAGTCAGATTTATTTATTTTTTAAAGCTAGTAGCAAAAGAAACAAATATATCAGCTGGCCAGAAGTAATTTGTCTGACTCAAATCAAAGAGCAAACTAAAAAGGCCATGCCATTTCTGTTTTCTTGAATAGAAAAAAGCTCTTAAGGAAAGAGAGAGATGTCAGGAACTATTACTGATGACAGTGTATAACCCAGTGAAAGCCTGGCCATCATTTCATTCCTATGCACAATTCCACATTTCCTTGTTCTCAGTCAAAAGCAGGAACCACTCAAAAACCATACGGAACAGTTGCAGAAGAAAACAAAATTTTTTGTTAACATAGGTCTTACATTCTTTAGATATCTAACTTTAAGATAAACGGATAACATATTTAAAACTCACGAGTAAGTGGTCAAACAACTCTAACACTAGAGATGCAATTCCATGAATATAATAGAAAACATCTCTCTTGTCATTCGGTAACTTAGCAGAGAAGTAAGAACACCAAATGTCCTTCATATATACTAAGAGATGCTAAGAGAAATTCGTAAACACTGCTGGCAAAGCAAGAAAAGGCAGAAGAACATGGTTTCTCAGATTAACAAAAAATGCCTTGAGAGCATGTCTGTTAGCTTTCTTTTTCATAACAAGGCAACTTTCATCTCAGAATAGGATACTCTGATTAATCAAATACTTCCCATAATAAAATCACAATATATACTACATACAGGTCATAAATTTTCAAAAATCTGATCTATAAGATACTTTATCTAAAACTATATAAAAAGTAATTTAATTCAGAAGGCTTTTTAAAACATTTCAGTCTCAAGATCCTCATCAAATATAAAATACACGTTTAACAACACTGAAAAGTTGGTCCTGATGGAATTCTATTTTATCAATTCTAAAAGGCGGGTTTTTCCACATACTACATTTCTGAAACTGGAATACATCTTTTATAATGGAGGTATCTTACCATAGGTCTAGACTAGAGGAGAATTTTCCCAGAGAAGATGTGCATCTGCTTCTGCTGTCATCTGGGAACACTATCAGCCCAACACCATCTGAATTAATCCTTTGTGGCAGGCCTTTGTGGACCACACTGGTGGTAAGGCTGCACACCCAAAGCTTAGGGCTTGTGGTTCAAATTCTCAGAGAAATGTTTTTTTCTTTCTCTATTTAGTGTCAAGGTTGAGACTTGCATGCTTCTTTATGGTCCCTTTTCTGGATGGTCAAGTTAATTTCTCATTTATCCCTAGGTGTACCAGCCTTGTGGGTTAGGTCTCCTACTAAACTCCCTGTCCTGAGTGTTTTTTCCTTCTTAGAGGTATATAATGTAATAGCACTTTTTAAAAATAATCTATGACATCTTAGATTCGATGAAATATGGTACCTTAAATAAGCTTCTCAAGTCTATTGAGTAGGCTCCAGAACTTCTACACAACGACTCATTATACTGCAACCTCTTTTATTCTCTTTAGGATTTCCTCTTTAAACCGTTAGCTTTACATACTGCAGACCAAGAGCAATGTTGTACTGTATTTCTACAAAGAACTTAATTAACATGTACAGTAAAAAAGTCAGAAAATAAAATGTCTAGTTATAATTTATTTCTTCAAATTCCAAATACTTATAATGGCATATACATTTCTAGTTTAAAAAACAAACTTTTAGCTTTTTCCTCAAAGTATCTGAAATCCTAAAATGTAGAAAGCCAAGTTAGTTTTTAGAGAAGACATACATGATTTGACTCCCAGGACAAAAAAGTAAACTCTGTACTACTTAGTTATAACAATTCTACTTAAAACGGCAACTCAAAGTACTGTAAAAACAAAACAAAAAAGACCAACAGTAATAATTCTACTTAGACCTAGAATAGCCAAAAAAAAGTAGTCTTTTTTTTTTTAGACATAATCTTGCTCTGTCACCCAGGCTAGAGTGCAGTGGCACAATCTCAGCTCACTGCAACCTCCACTTCCTGGGTTCAAGTGATTCTTGTGCCTCAGCCTCCCGAGTAGCTGGGATTACAGGCTCCTGCCACCACGCCTGGCTAATTTTTTTATTTTTTATTAGAGACGGGGTTTCACCATCTTGACCAAGCTGGTCTGGAACTCCTGACCTCGTGATCCACCACGCCTGGCCTTACGTAGTCATCTTTTTAACAAGTCATTACAAATTCTAATTTGATTTTGTGTCTCATAGGTCCAAATGATTCTGCATTTTAATATTTCATTCAGTACAGGGCACAAAACTGAAATTCAATAAGCTATGAGATAAATAATTCCGTATCAGAGAAGCATATAATGTTCCCTTAAATATTAAAATCCTGATAATTGATTTCATTCTAAAAATTTAACAATGTCCAATAGCAATACATTCAAGGGGGAAGATGCCAAGTACACTGTCATGCAAGAGTAAAAGAAGGATATGAGAAAAATGACCTTAAAATTGTTCAAAGACATGTTTTAAGACAATCCTACAACCCAGAACTGAAAAAAAGCCATTTCACTTGACCAGGTTGACATTACCTACTTAGCACAAAGAAACTTTTAAGGTGTTCTGGTTTACATCCACTTGTAGGAAAGGCTACCCATTGATAATAGCTTACATTTATTAAGCATGTATCTCCTTGTTTAATATCTATAACTACCCTGTAAGATAATAACCATTATTATATTATTTCATAGGTGATAAAACTGAAGCTTAGAGGTGTCAAGAAACTTGACCACGGTCATTCAGCTTCTGAGATAAGAGTGGCAATACCAATCTATTATCGGTTGGTCATTACCAGTATTTGTTGGACATTTACTATTACTGCCTCAGCTGCTTTCAGGTTTTGGGGAAGCAAGAATGTTAAGGTTCAATAGAGGAAGATGGATATAAAACTCAGTACAAAACAGTTTTATGAGAACTCCACAAAGGGCTTAGGGGGGCGCAAAAGAGAGGAATGGGTAGAAAAGCAATGCGTTAGTTGACTTATACAAATAAACTAGTGAATGCTTCTTTAAATAAAGAGCATCCAAAATTTATTTCCTGGTCAATATAGTTTCTCTGGTTTTTATTCATGAAAATGTTTTGATGTATAGAATATGTGTCCGATTTCAGAGTATGTAAACCCCGCCCCCCTACATTTATAGCACACATTTATGCTTATACACAACACAAGCATAAAACCGAAGTTACCTTGTCGCATCATTACTGTTTCAATGTAGTTGGGACAGGAAGGTTTACGTTAAACACAAAATGTTACTCACATGTCACTTGACTTGAACTGTTCCCATCAGCAAGAAAAATTACTGCAAGAATGAAAGGAGTTCACTTTTCTCTGTGACTGTTCCAAAGAAGCGGAAGAGCATTTTAAGTTTCTCCGGTTTCCTTGATGAATGTCCCTCAAACAACCTAAAGGACTTAAAAAATAAGAGAATGGAAGATGAGTTAAAATGCCTTAATGATTCAGAAAACTACATCCATATTGCTACCAAGTCACAAAAAGAAATAATTGTTCCAGAAGACAATTCTGTAATGATAAGAACTAGAAAATTGGTTTAGATTCAAATGGCATCTGGAGAGAACTGAAATCAACTAGAACCAGCCTTCTTCAAAGCTGTTCAAATCAGACAGCATTTGCTACCAACCACATTTCTCCAACCTATCTTCCACCACAGAGAAGGCACCATCTAGCCCTCCCAGTCAATTGGGGTCAGTCAGTGCACAGCTACTTTCTCAATGGCTAATAACATTTATAATTCATAATGTTACTACGTAGTTTGATAAGTAACAATAACAGTATCTGAAAAAAATCCTTATCTGAGTGTTTTTGAGGAAATGAGAGTGGAGGGGAATGGGGGAAGGACACAGGCAGGTATAACAAGATATCAGGGCTCAACAATCCTTGTTAATTAAACAACTAGTTTCTTTTATGGACTGAATGTTTGTGCCCTCTCAAAATTTATATGTTGAATCTTTAATCCCTAATATAGCTAAATTTGGAGACAGGGCCTGTGAGGAGGTACTAACAGTTAAATGAGGTCATGGGGTGGGACTCTAATCTGATAGAACTGGTGTCGTTTTAAGACAAGGTGAGACTACAGTACTCTCCCCTTTGCCATGTGAGGACAAGATGCCAGCCAACCTATAAGCCAGGAAGAAAGCCCTCATCAGGAACCGAAGCAGCAGCACCCTGATCTACAGCTTCTAGCCTCCAGAACCGTGAGAAAATTAAGCCACCCAGTTCTATGGTATTTTATTATGGCAGCCCAAGCTGACTAATAGAGATCCTTTGCACGGTAACCAAAACAGTGCCTACCCTGTGTCATCTAGTTTTCAGCAACCCGGACTTGGATTACTTAATTCAGTTTCCTTTGAAATGATGTGGCATTGTTATTGGTAACATGTAATTCAGTTTATTCTGAGGAAAGAAAAACAGGGCTTTAAAAGCATTATGACCTGAGTAAGTAGTTCACTAAAAGATTTGTAACACAAAAGCATGCTTTTGAGTATGAGATCTAGCTTTCCAAAGGCATTTAAAAATTATAGAGACTCAGTGGCTATGAATGATGAGGTACTCTTCATCTGCCTCTAGCCATGTGCTCTGACTTTAAAACCAGAGACCCTTCAAGTAAAGTCCACGTTAGTAAGTGCTGAAATGGGTAATTATTTTTCATGATTACAACAGCAAGCTTATGTAACTACGCTGAGAGGGAAAAGTTAATTCCATGAGAAAATCCTATTGAGCGACTGAAATAAATTAGGAAAAGGAAAGGAAATGCAGATTTCAAATGGTTCCGTTTTCAACGATCTGAAATCTGTATTCAAGGCCAATTTCTGGAAAAACAATTTATGTGAATATTTATTTCCTAGAAAGAATACTAATGTAGGCTAGTATTTTAACCAAATCTAAAATCAGATCTCTTTTTTAAAAGTTTAAGACAGCCTGTGTGATAATTTTTATTTATTTAAAAGAATCTGTCTTCTAAAATATTTAATACACATCTCTTATAATCCAGTTGCTAGTTGAAACAGGGTACAGGTTAAATAAGATAGTATTTCTAAATGGATTCTGAATGGATTAAAACTCAATAAAATGGACATTTTATTGAGTGAATGGAGAGATCTAATCCATCTGGCAAGTCAGTTAAGAGAGCTTCTGCTGCCATTTTTATTGACATGTAATAGTGTAATAAACTCACACGTAATACTGTAAAGCTCTGTAAAAAAATTTTAACCTAGCCTATTTGTTTAAAGGAGATGTTAACAATTCATGCTCCCTTGAACCACTTCATTTTTGCTTTTAGGACAGGACTGTTCATTAACACACACAATCAATTACTAAACACAATTACTGAAATAAATATTATCAAGCAGTAACCAAAAAATTCAACGTAAGGCTATCATACCCAAACTCCAATATCCAGAAGCCAATTTAAGTAACCCATGCCTCCTTGGCAAAAGTGTATGGATATTACCTTTTCCTTGTGATAGTAAAACCTATCCATTTTCTTACATCACCCAAGTATCAGCTTTTACACTTCTACAAATAAAGCAGACAATGAACATACTGTGTAGAAATCTTGAGCCCTTAATTAAAAGGTACTCACAGAGTTGTATCTAAATCATTGGCTACAATGATCTAAAACACACACACAGTTATATCTAGGTCATTTGCTACAGTGATCTAAACCACTTCATTTACATCTTAGTATTAATCACAGGACAAAAACGCTAATATTTTCAGAACTACAGCCAGTGTTGCTATCTGCCACAGGCAACGTGTCTTCAAAACCCCTTGATACTATGTGTTTGCCCCCAAGTAAATAGGAGGGAGATCCAGGCGCCCCTTCCAAAAGCAACAGCTTAGAGGAGAGAAGGAAAATCAAAGATACTGAGACGATTCATTTTAGCCAAAAGCGAACCTGCCACCCCAAAGAGCAAAAAACAAAATCTGAAAACTAAGATGTATGTTATTATATGTTATTCACAGAACTTATTTGCAATATTTTTAAAGAAAAAATTACAAAACCGTGTTTCTCAAAATGTTACAATAAAATTTTATGTGTGTAAAGTCTATCTATTTTACGTGTACATTTGTGTGTGTGTAAAAGAGAGGGGATTATGAATTAGGAAGCGTATGTACCAAAACATTAGAAGTAGTTATCCTTGGGTAATGAGATTATGATTTTCACTTTCCTCTTTATACCTTAATATATCATCTCCAAATTTACAATCAGAATTCATTATAAAGCTATTGCATTTTTATTTATTTATTTATTTTGTGAGACATGGTCTCACTCTGTCACCCAGGCTGGAGAGTGCAGTGGTGCGATTTCAGCTCACTGCAACCTCGGCCTCCCAGGCTCAAGCGGTCCTCCCACCTGAGCCTCCTGAGTAGCTGAGACCAATCAAAGTTAAGTTTTCTTCGGTTTAAAGTAACTTGTTATGTTGTTTAGCCTCATGGTAACCAGAAAACAAAAATCAACAGACACTCTAAACATAAAAACCAAGGAATTAAAACACTACCAGAAAAAATTACTTCACTACAAATAAAGACAGGAAGAAAGGCAAGGAGGAAAGAGAAGAAATAAAAAGAGATCAGAAAGAAAAGAGGAAGGGAGAAAGAACAAAAGAAAAAGCAAAACAATCAAAAAAGTAAAAAATGGCAGTAGTATGTTTTTATCTGTAATAATCTTGAATGTAAATTAAATTAAGACAGAGTGGCTGAATGGATTAAAAGACCCAATTATGTCCTGCCTACAAGGAACTCAGTTCACCTATAAAGACATACACAGACAAAGTCAAGGGATGATAAGAGATATTCCATACAAACGGAAACAAAAAAAGCAGGAGTAGCTATACTTAGATAAAATAGCCTTTAACTCAAAAAAAGAAAAAATAAAGATAATTATATAATGAGAAACAAGTAAACAGCCGTTAAGTGCATATGCAACCAACACTGAAGCACCTAAATATAGATGCAAATATTAACAGGCTTT
Source organism: Homo sapiens (assembly GCF_000001405.40). Lineage (NCBI taxonomy): Eukaryota > Metazoa > Chordata > Mammalia > Primates > Hominidae > Homo > Homo sapiens. The sequence continues at coordinate 67,837,278 of NC_000009.12, read as the reverse complement.
AAAGGACAGAGGGACTGCAATACAATAATAGAGTACCTCAACACTCCACCGTAATCAACACCCCACTATCGCGAACGGACAGATCATCCAGACAACAAAACATCATCAGTTAAACTGTACTCTATACAGAATGGACCTAACAGACATTTACACAGCTTTTCACTCTGCAACTGCACAATGCTCATTCTACTGAGTGGCACATCGATTATTCTACAGGACAGACTGTGTTAGGCCAAAAAACAAGTCACAACACTTTTTTTTTTTTTTGAGGTGGAGTCTCTGTCTCCCAGGCTGGAGTGCAGTGGCACTATCTCGGCTCACTGCAAGCTCCGCCTCCCGGGTTGACGCCATTCTCCTGCTTCAGCCTCCGGAGGAGCCGGCCACCACGCCCGGCTAATTTTTTGTATTTTTAGTAGAGACGGAGTTTCACCGTGTTAGCCAGGATGGTCTCGATCTCCTGACCTCGTGATCCCGCCTCGGTCACCCAACACATTTTTAAAAACTGAATTCATATCAAGTATCTTTTTTGACCACAGTCGAATAGTATTAGAAATCAGTAACAGATAGAACTTTAAAAACTGTACAAATACATGGAAATTAAAATACACGCTCATGAACAACCAATAAAAGAAATGAAAAAAATACAAGGGAAATTAAATATTTATTGAAACAAGTAAGAATAGAAACACAACATAAATCCTGTGGGATGCACCAAAGGCAATTCTAAGAGGAAAAGTGTATAGCTATAAATGCCTGCATCAGAAAAGTAGGAAGATCTCAAATAGCCTGACAGTACACCTCCAGTAATGAGAAAAACAAGAACAATCAAATGCTAGAATTCGCAGAAAAAATACCATAAAGATTAGAGAAGAAATTTTAAAAATAGAAACAAAAAATACAAAAAGTCAATGAAACAAAAGCTGGGGTGTTTTAAAAAAAATCAAAATTGACGAGTTTTAACTAGATGAAGTTAGATAAAAAGAAAACAAAGTCATAAAGAAGGCATTAGAACTGGTAACCCAGAAATACGAAGCATTAAAAGATTACTAAAAACATCACAAACAAATTGAAAAATCTGGAAGTGAATACATTTCTAGACACATAACGAATTCCCAAGATAGAATGATAAAAAATAAAAATAAAAAACCTGAACAGACCAATAATGAGGAATGCAATTAAAGCAGTCATAAAAAGTCTCCTGGCAAAGAAAAACACAAGAATCATGGTTTTCCTGCTGAATTACCAAACATTTTAAAAATAGCTAATATCTATTTTACTCAAAATATTCCCCATAAAATGAAGAGGAAGAAAGGCTTCAAAACTTGTTCTATGAGGACAGCATGACCCTGGTACAAAAACCAGACCAGAACACAACACAAAAAGGAAACCACAGGCAAATATCCCTGATGAACAGAGGTGTAAGAAATCCTCAGCAAAATACTTGAAAATTGCATTTGACAATGCAATAAAAAGATCATCTTCCATGATCAAGTGGATTTCATTCAACCCAGGAATATGAGGATGATTCAATAAACACAAATAAATATGCAACATCACATTCAGCAAATCAACAACAAAAACCATATAATCATTTCAGTAGACGCTGAAAAAAATAAAAGTCAACATTCCTTCATGATAAAAACTCAACAACATGAGTACAGAAGACACATATCTCAGTGCAATAAAGGCCATATATGACAAACCCACAGCTAACATAATCAAGAAGGAAAAGTTAAAAGCTCTTCTCCTCTAAGATCTGGAACAAGTGTGGCTACTTTTACACCACTTTTGTTCATCATAATACTGGAAGTCCTAGCTAGAGCAATTAGGAGAATGCAATAAAAGGCATCCAAATTGGAAAAAAGGAGTCAAATTGTCTGTTTCCAGGTGACATGAACATATATAGAGAGAACCCTAAAGATTCCACAAAAAACCTACTAGAAATAATAAATTAGTCAAGTTCCAAGATACAGTATCAAAATATAAAAATGAATACTACACCCATGCACCAATAGTGAAATATCTAAGAAAGAAATCGAGAAAGCTATTTCATTACCAAAAAAATGATATCTAGGAATAAACTTAACCAAAAAGGCAAGAGATCCCAAAATGAAAACTTCATAAAACATAGATGAAAGATACTAAAGCAGACACAAGTAAATGGAAAGATATCCCATCTCTATGCACTAGAAGAATGTTAAAATATGTGTATCACCCAATGTGATCTACAGAATCAATGCAATCCATGTTCAATTACAAGACATTCTTCATTGAAATAGAAAAAGAATCTCAAAATTCACATGGAAGTTCAAAATACCTCAGATAGACAAAAGAATCTGGAATAAAAAGAAAAGCTGGAGGCATCACACTACCTGATTTCAAAATATACTACAAATTTATAGTAAGGATGGTACTATCAAAACAGTATGGTACTCTCAATAAAAGGGGCGGGGGAGAGACAAGAGAGATGAACGAATGAGACAGACAGACATAGACAAGTGAAACAGAATAGAGAAATCATAAATAAATTCACGCGTTTACGGTCAATTCATTTTTAACAAAGGCCCCAAGAACACACCTTCGGGAAGGACAATCTCTTCAATAAACTGTACTAGGAAAACCCAACACCCACATGTACAAGAATACATCTAGGCCATTACCTTACCATATACAAAAATCTACTCAAAATAAAAGATTTAAATACAGGACCTGAAACTATGAAACTACCAGAGAAGAAAACATAGGATAAATGCTTCATGAAATTGGTTAGGACAAGGAATTTTCAAATAGACATCAAAAGCACAAGCAACAAAAGCAAAGATGTAATTACATTAAACTTAAAACCTTTTCCAAAGCAGAGGAAGCACAATCAGTATAATGAAGACAGAACCCGAGAATGGAAGAAAGTCTTTGCAGCTATGCATCAGGCAAGAGGTTAATACACAAAATATCTAAAGAACTCAAACTACTCAAAAGTGAAAATACAAATAATCTTATTTTTAAAAATCTACCCAAAACTTTTGTCCCCCACTATTTCCCCACCTTCTTTTCCCGACCGCATTTCGCTCTCTCCCTCTCACCACCCTTTCTCTTCCTCCATCTACCCCCAAACGTTTTCACCGTTTTCATCGTTTTCTCCCCACCATCATTTCGTTTTCTCCCCGCCCCCACCCCCGTCATTTCGCAAAGCCTTCTCTATTCTCCCGCTCACCACGCTTTTCCCCAACCATCTACCCAAACACTTTCTCCCGTTTTTTCCCACCGTATTTTCCCCCTTCTCCCTGGCCACCCTCTTTTTTCCCCCTCCTGCTGTCATCATGCCCTTTTCCTCCTCCATCTAAGCAAAAACATTTTCCCCCCGTCTTTTCCCAAAGCCTTTTCCCTACTCCTGCTGCTCACCACCCTCTTTTCCCCCTTTATCTACCCAAAAACTGTTTTCCTCATTGTCTTTCCTCCTGCTCCTCCTTGCCACTCTTTCCCTTCTCCATCTACCCAAAAACATTTCCCCACCATCTTTTCTCAAAGCCTTCTCCCCACTCCTGCTCACCTCTCTCTTCCCCCCATCTACCCCCCAAAATTTCCCCATCTTTTCACAAAGTCTGCCCCCTCTTCCCACTCGTCCTCTTCTCTCCCCTATCCTGCTTGTCACCCTTTTTTTTGCCCTGCATCTATCCCAAACTATTTTCCCGTCTTTTTCCCACCCTTCTTTCCCTGCTCCCTTCTCGCCACCCTCCCTTCTCCTCCTCGTCACCCTCTTTCCCTCCTCCATCTACCCAAACACTTTTTACCTACCGTCTTTTCGCCACCATCTTTCTTTTCTGCCACTGTTTTTTCGCAAAACCTTGTCTTCCTCCCGCTAGTTACCCTTTTTCCTTCTCCCACTTGCTATCTTCTTCTGCTCCTCTATCTACCCAAAAACTTCTCTCCCCACTGTCTTTTCACAAAACCCTCTCTCCCTACTGCTAGCCCATTTCCCCCACCTCACCACTCTCTCCTCTCCCCAATTGCCACCATCTTTTCCCCCTTCATCCACCCATAAACTTTCTATCCACCGTCTTTCTGCAAAACCTTCCCTCACTCCCGCTCCACACCCTGTCTTTCCACCTCCATCTACCCAAAACCTTTTTTCCCCACCATCTTTTCCCCATCGTCTTTTTGCAACGCCTTCTCCTCCTCGCTATCCTTTTTTCCCTTTGGCAATAACCAAACTCTTTACCCACCCCTCTATCTATCCCAAAACTATTTTCCTCTTCCTATCCCTCCAGCCGCGCGGCAATCGCAATCTCCACTGCCACCACCAACCATAGCGAGGCGAGCTGCGCCGCTGTGCCGTGTCTCAAGCCTCCAGCATACGGCCGGTGACTCCTTTTCCTGGTCCTCTAAGCTGGGCACTGAGCAGCTCAACAGTAAAACACCGAACCCTAAAAAAAAAAAAACCGTAACAGTTTTTCAGCATCATTTATATACGGAGGTTATGCGCATGCCGGTTCCTAGACTTCATGTTCTGATTGCATGAGAGCAAGTCTTAAAATAACCAATCACAGCATGAAAATAAAGTCCAATCAGAGTAGGCCTAGAGGTTTTTCTCTCATCCAATCAGAACATGTAGTCCAGGATCCGTAACTTCAGTATATAAAGCGTGCTGAGGAAGTGGTGCGTCATTTTTGGGTCTTCTGTGTCAGTGTGCTCAGCTGCTAGGTACCTGGGTTAGAGAACTAGAAGGGTCCATTAGTTTTCACCCGCTGGAGCCTGGAGCCTGGAGCCTGGGGCGCTGCCTCCCTGTTGGTTGTGTTGGTGACGGAGCGGTAGGAGGGAGGCTAGCAGCGGGAGCTTCTCCTGCCGGGCTGGAAGACGAGGAGAAGGAAGAGACACCGCTGCATGCTGGAGGCTGGAGCCAGAGCCTGCGCCTCCGTGGCTTACCTCGCTGCAGCTGTTGGTGACATCAGAGACCACAACTCGGCTACAGTGGTAGCAATGTGGTTGCAGTGAGCCAAGATTGCATCACTGCTCTGCAGCCTGGCGACAGAGCAAGACACCATCTTAAAAAAAAAAATTGAACACAGTGTTTTGCATCTGTTTCAGAAAAACAAATGATACCATTATTTAATATGCTGCAGTAACTAGAAGCCTACTTATAAAGTTGGTGGCAAATAAGTCATTGGTATATGTTAACTTCCTATAATCACTTACATGTTCCTAAGAGTCACTTTGTGTATTTATATAAGAAGGTCAGCATGTAAATGATTACAGAGAAACTTTTTGTTGAAAAGTAAGAAAGCTTGTCTCCCTTTTCCTAGTTATGAAGGAACCACCACCACAACAAAATAAAGCATACACTTTGTTTATAACCCTGAATCATGATTTATGGCCAGATTATCCTAGCATCCAACTGCCTACCTTGGCATTTATCAGTTGAAATGAGTCCAGAGAAAGAATTTATAACAATAAGAATAACTGTTAGAATGCCAGTCCTATCAAGAAATGTTAGAAATATGTAAGCAAAACTCAAAAGTAAATATCACTGTTTGTCTAACCATATTCCATGCATAGCTTCTACTAGTGTTCCCCAGAATTGTCTGTTTTATCATTTCTCTTGACTTTTGATACTTTTATTCATATATCCTCCATCCTCACTTAGTCCTTACTGTTTGTACTTCGGCATCATATCAACCCTATCTTGCCACTTAAAAGACAAAGTAATACTACTTTTTCAGTTTTTTTTTCATTTAATGTAAGAAGTTATCATTTCCCCAATAGTGAAATGATGCAAAATGATTATTTCATGTATTGTCCAAATGGGTTCAGGTTTGTGACAGTCTCAAACGCATCAGGGAGTAGGGACACCCTTCAGTTAAAGCACCAAGTTGTATTTTAATCTGTATTTTATTTTTAAAAAAGATTTTTTCTCAATATCACATAAACATTAAGCTTTTTATTTTACCTCTCTATTTACTTATTTACACGATTTAAGATTGAACATTTTTCGTTATCAAAAATATTTTCATAATATGTGTAAAATTGTTGAAATCTTAATTTTTCCAAAATGACAGCTGACTCCTCTTAAAGGTAATGGGAATCTTAGAATGTTATTTGCAAGTCAGTCTACAGCATTATTTTCATACATAAAATGTTGTGTACTAATTTTTGAAATATTTGTAAATTAAATAGGTCATTTTTCTTTCAGGAGAAAGGAGACTTTGAGAGATTTTTGTGCAGGAGAAGAGTAGTTTTAAAAATAGGTAGTTTGCAATAGGGCAGACTAGTTTTAAAATTCTAAAATGAGAACAAGTCAATAAGAGTCTCTTGATTAAATCTAGTGATCTTATTATTTATTTATTAATTGACATGTAATAATTGTACATATTCATGGGGTACAATTTGATACCTGGATACCTATCCATGTTGTATAATGATCCATTCAGAGTGAATCTATTATCTTACATATTTGTCATTTCTTTGTGGTGAGAACATTCGAAGACAACTCTTCAAGCTATTTTGTAATATACGATATTTCACTGTTAACCATACTTGCTCTACATGCAACAGAACACCAGAATTTATTGCTCTTATCTAGTTGTAATTTTATACCATCAATCAAAGTTTCCTCATCCTTCTTTTTGTCCTCCTGTCTTTAGTCTCTGGTAACATTTTTCTACTCTCTGCTTCTATGCTATTAACTTTTTAAAATGTTTGTATTTTCTTTTTTTTTTAGACTCCACTTATGAGTGAGATCATGCTGTACTTGTCTTTCTGTGTCTGGCTTATTTCACTTACCACGATGTCCTCTAGATTCATCCATATTGTCATAAATGGCAAGATTTTACTTTTTATGGCTAAAGAGTACTTCATTGTATACAGATAGTGCATTTTCTTTTTGCATTCATCTGTTGCCAGACACTTAGGCTTATTCTGTATCTTGGCTATCATACATAGTGCGCAATAAAAATGACTAGGTGCATCGCAATTAGCTTTAAAAAGATGGAACGGCATTGTAAGGACAGACCATGAATCTAAGCCCTTAGGTTGAATACTTAGGTTGAATAAAATTGTTGGAAGAAGTGGCTATTTGATGTATGTAATGAAAGGGATTCTTACATGGCAGGTATTATTAGGAGAAAAAAAGAGAGAAAGTTGAAGGAGAGGGGAAAACTGCCACAGCAGGTTAAGCAACTTGCTTTGAAATAATTGGGATTAGTAAGTGTGCAGAGATAGAACTGGTGATGAAAGAGTGAGACTGGAATTAGAAAGTAATTTGTAATACTAATGTTGCAGGTTGGGTCCTGGTTATGAGACTAAGCAGATGCTCATTCCTTGGAGCTATAACTGTGACCAGTGCCACATTAACAGATTTGGAAAATATGAGATTAACTATGAAGGTACAGAAAATAAAGGTATTAAAATTCTTTCTATATTTTAGATCTAATTGTTAATAATATGGTATATACACATCCATACTATATTATATATATATATATATATATATATATATATATATATATATATATAACATATGTATGCGAAAAGAGATGGTAAATAGAAAACATTAGCTGGGCATGGTGGCTTACACCTATAATCCCAGCATTTTGGGAGGTGGAGGCAGGAGGATACTTGAGCCCAGGGATCTGAGACTAGCCTGGGTAATATGGCAAGACCATGTCTCTACAAAAAGTAAAGAAAAGTAGCTGGGCCTGGTGGCACACACCTGTCATCAAAGCTACTCTGGAGGCTGAAGTGTGAGGATCACTTGAATTCAAGAGGTCAAGGCTGTAGTGAGCTGTGTTCCACCCACTGCACTCCAGCCTGGGTGAGAGCACAAGACCCTGTCTAAAAAAAAGCAAAAGAAAAAAGAAACATTATTGAGGAGAAGAGATAAATAGAGTCTTAGAAATTTGAATTGATACATGAGTAAAGAATGACCCAATTATTTTATATCGGGAATGGGAAAATAAATTTTATTCAAGTCCACAAAATAGTTTTTAAAGCATAGACAATATAATACAGGGGTTGGGGGCGTGGTTACAACAATGTTAGAAACACTGAAAGAGCAAAAGAGGCCTGCTACTCCAGATGATGAGCAAATGAAGGAAGCCACTTCCATCCTTAACTGTGAAAAATGAGTAGGAGAAGGTGGTGCATTCTGGGTCCCATGATTCCAGACTGACCATTGGCCCTATTTGAGCGCAGCTGCCGTTAGGCAGAAACTCTGGACTCCAAACTCTCAGTAAAACTTCTGAAGACACTGCTGTTGCTATTGCAGCTGTCAGCACCATTGATTCAGCTGAGAAGCAGCACAGAATATCACACTGACACCCACGCTGTTGGTTGTGTTTTTTTGAACCAGATTGAAATTAATATCTATTGTATGGTTCAATTTCTATGAAGTTCAATGTCAAGCAAATGTAATTTATAAAGATAAAAGTAAGAACAGTGGTTGCCTATAGTAATGATTGGAGGTTCACAATAGAGACTCCTGGATTCTAGTAATACTCAATTCATATTCATGTAGGTTGTGATGACATTAGTATTTTACGTTCTAAAAATGTTTAATGCTATATGCTCAAGATCTGTGTCTTTCACATGTGCATATCATATTTCATATTTCAATTAATAAATCAGTAAAAAAGTTCCAGTTCAGGATACAATACTGTAGAACAATCCAAAATATTAATTTATTCCTAAAGTTTTAAAAATATTAGAATAAATACGGAGCATTTTGTTAAAACAGTATGGTAAACCTAAATGTAAAAAAAAATTAAATTGAGTTAGGAATTTCAAAAAGACATTTCATGTGCCTTTTCAACTTTCAATTTCATATGAAAGTTGAAAAAACTTGAAATCAGTTAAGTGTGCATGTGTATGTAAAACAAAATTACTGCATATAAAAACTTTTTTGAGGCATCTAGAAAATATTTAGCAGTGTGCCATAGTTTAGAGGCATTTTAAAATGCTTTTTAGTGGTACATAAAAAATTAATTAATGACAGAGTCTATGAAAAACAAGTAGAGCAGCTTGAAATAATTCACATATTTTTCATGTAAAAGTTTTAGGAGAAGTCCAGTGATGTCACGATAGCTCTACGATGTTGATTTATTTTGTCGCTTTTATATGCTTATTTTATATACAAAATAGCTGAAAACAGCTATGAATTCTAAAGCATGGTAACGGGTAAAAGGTCACACACATTTCTTTTAGATGCTGCAAATATTGCTTCTGTTCACACGTTATCGTCCAAAAATTAGTTACATTGACTCATCAAAGTGCAAAGAGGCTGGTAAATGTACTTTAATTTGCTAAATGCCTTGCAAGATATAGGGATGTATATTGAGAAGACAAAGAATGGAAGTGAGAATTACTTGTTATTTTGACTTCCAACTATTGGAGAACATTCCCAAAGAAATATTATACTAAATTTCTGCCTGAATAATTATTTCAGCATCTCTTTCATGGTCTTTGCTTAAGGGCAGTGCTTCCAGCTGAGGCTGCATACAGTCTCATATTCCATAGACTAACTGTCTAGGGTAATTCAGACTTATAACCTAAGTTTATGTTACAGCTTTTCTAACTTATGTTCCTTTGATGGAGTTTATCCTCATTGCCCCACCCCCCAAATGGTTTACTAATAAAGTATAGTCTAAAACAGAAACATTATTCTTTTTATATTCTTTAATCTCCATTGAAATAAACACAATTTGTAGAATTATTAACTAATAGAAATTAATTGAAAAGAAGCATCTTTCTTTTATATGAACAATGACATAGTTCAAATTTATCTTGAAAACAGTTTTAAGCACAAGTAATTACGCTGAATATGTAAATAACCCATTTATAAGTAGGTCAATAGGAAAACATTTCAACAAATTTCAAACTTGATATCATTTCTAGATCTTATGAAATAATGGAACATGTTTTGGAAGGTAAGAGAAGTTTACTTAGCCAATAATAACAGGTCTCAATCAATTATTTTTTAACAGCTAGTTTATCCCTGGATATACCTTACTATATCCTGTTTTTAGATATGGCATTTGAAAACCTCCAAGAATATAGATATAATTTTAATTGAGCTATTATGGTTAGTATTTATTTTTAAAGTTCTGAATTTTTTTAAAAAATTCAATTTCTATGGTATATTAACAAGATTGATTGGAATAATGCATTTTTTTAATGTGGTGGGTTGGTGATATGTTTTTCTTCTGAGAAAGAAGGCTGTTCATAATCTTAAATTATATTAGGTTTTAGAAACAACAAAAATTGTGGGATTCCCTTAATGGCTTTCTTGCACTTGAGTTCTAAAATATTTATCAATCTCAAATATATTTTGCATTATGTTGAAAAATGACTATTAATAGTTTCTGCTAAAAGGAATTATCAACTTTTTATGCATCACCATTTCAGAGTTGGGCTTATAAAAATATCAGTATCTGTCCTACATATATACCAATGTTTTTCAATTTTTAGTCAGTTAAATATGTTTCATTGATTTTCTGCTGTGTGCCTAAAATTGTGCATGATGATATTATAGAAGGTACTGTGAAAAGGCTTAAAGCAGTATATTTAACCACTGCCTACCAGAGTAGTACATAGAGAAGCAAACCTAATCTATAAGCAACAATGAGAGCGTGCTACAGATAACTTTTAATATTGTAAATATATATGATACAGACGATAAAATCTTTATGAAATAATCTATAGGAGAGGTGAAATGGGTCTCTGCCAGGAGAATGCAAAGGCAGTAAAAAATTAAAAACCAAAATATTGAGAATTATTTTGAGGAAAGTGTTAGTAGAATTTAATAATACATTTAATAGAAACATAAGATTAAAAATGCAAAGATGAATTCAAAGTTGCTTACATTCAAAAATAACTCATTAAATGTACAGTATTTTAAGCACACTTTTGATCTATGAAGAGTATAAATATGAATAAGACATAGTTCTTTAGGCTAGACATAGAGAATATTTTTTGTGCAGAAATAAAATCTAGAGTATGTAATATTAGGGGAAAGAAAATGCCTCATAGATGTCAATAAACCTTGTTCCCTCTATTTTTTTTTTTACTGGTTTCATTTCCTGTAATAATTGTGGTAACAGTAATGCTGAAAAAATTAAACCTCCAACTCTTAAAACAATAAAAGTTATTGCTTGCTTAAATAATAGGAATGCTATCTGTGATTTCCTGCAGGGTCATTCAAAGATTTATTATTTTCCCATCTGTGGTTTTGCCATCCTCAATACATAGCTCTTGGGGGTTTTCTGTGGATTGTTTTAATGTTAGCCAACCAGAGAGAATAAAAAGAGTGTTAAAAATTATTAATTCTGGGTCTATGTGACCCTGTAAGAAGGCTACATCACTACTATATACTTAGAACCTAAATTTCTATGCCAAAATATAGGCGAATATAGCAAATATTGTCCAAATTTACAAGGAAAGAGAAAATGAATTGTGTGTTCATCTTACAGTTTCTAATAAAATCCCCAACATTGAACTTAAATGACTCTCCAGTTGTTCATTAGGAGCATATGCTGTTGGTTGACTGCCAGCATACATTATCTCACCTTTTCTTTCTAAAATAGAACATATTCAATATATCCAAGGCTTCCAAGGCTTCAGTACTTCTCTAAGTTTACTGTCTCGTCTTCAGATTCAGGTATGATGTGATTACTCTAAGTATAGCCTGATTCTTTGCCAAAAATAAGAACAAAAATACGCATATGGCCCAATTCAGTACAAAGGCAAATCAGGGCAAATTACCTTAAGAGTTTTTAAGATAAATGTTTCTCTTGGTGTCTCTTTCTTGGTCTTCTGGGTAAGGTTGTATCTGAATATGATGACCCTAAATGTCTGCAGACATTTTTGCAGAAATGTTAAGGGTAAAAGTGACACAGCCAATAGCAAAGAAGTGCCAGAAAATACGTAAGCAAACTGTGACCTCTTTTTACCTCTTGATTGACTTTTATGTTAAATAATGAATTTACCTTATGCTTGAAAGAATTTGAAATAGTATTTGGCAGTGAAGAATTTACTCCTCCCATATTTTCATTCAAGAGAAATTTCCATGAGGAGGGTTGTTGGTGGGTTACCTCCAACTCAACCACTTCAGAGCTACTACAGTGGTAATGCATGTTGAAGAAAAGAGTCAAACTCTGTGAAATATTTGAAGAGATTTATTCTGAGGCAAATATGAGTGACCTCGGCCTGTCACACAGCCCAGGAGATCCTAAGAACATGTGCCAAGGTTGTTGGGCTACAGCTTGGATTTATACATGTGAGGGAGACATAAGACATCAATCAGTATACCTAAGATACACATTGGTAAAATTGGGAAAGGTGAGACAACTCAAAGCAGGTGGGGGTGGGGTGGGTGAAGGCTTCCAGGTTAAAGGTGAATTCGAAGATTTTCTGATTGGCATTTGACAAGTGGCTAAAATAATTTATCTAAAGACCGGAATCAATAGACAGGAGTGTATGGGTTAAGATAAGGTGTTTTAGAGACCAAGGTTCTTATGCAGATGAAGCTTGCAGGTAGCAGGCTTCACTGAGAATAGATTGTAAATGATTTTTATCAGACATAAAAAGGAAAAAGGACTTGGAATCAGGAAAAATCAGGAAAAAGACTTGGAAAGAGAAGGGGATTCTCTACAAAATGGAGATTTTCCCCACAGAAACAGCCTTGTAGGGCCATTTCAAAATATGTCAAAGAAATGTATTTTTGTGGTGAAATACTTTGATTTCTTTCAAGGCCTGCTATCTGTCATGTTGATATCTTATTGCTACGAAGAGTCTGTTTTGTCATTCTTAAGTCTCTACTTTAATGTTAACACTGTTCAGCTATGCATGAATTCCGAAAGGATGAAAGTAAATAACGAGGCATGTTCAACCACCCATTTCCATCATGGCCATTACTGTTTCAGGTTTAGTTTAAAATGCCCTTGGCCAAGATAAAGGGCCCATTTAGTTGGTTAACGGACATTGAATTTTATTTTTGGCTTACATGCAGGTGCCATGCTCTCCTTAGGTTGCTCCCTGCCAATGCTGAGCAAGGAAGATATTATAGGGCTTTTCATTCTTGTCCCACATGGACTCATCTAAAGGTCAAAGTTCACTTTGGTGCTCTTTCAGTGTGGCTGACAATTTCTCAGATGTGCACTCTTCTCTGAGGCTCCTCCTTTCCAATTATCTTTCATGCTCTCTCTTGTTTTGAGGTGCCAGGCTTGCATCATGATCTGGAGGCTCTTGCAGCCTCCTTTTGCTCTATCTTCTTTTTATTCTTCAAAGGTGTTTTCTCTGGTTACTCTCTTATATGTGTAATTCCATGTTGGTGTCTGATTCTTGGGAAACCCAAACTGGCTTATAATTTTTCTTACTTTCAGTAAAACCTTCTTTGCTGATGCATCATTCATTAATTCATTAAATGTATTGTGTTTTGTATGGGAAAACAATGATGCCAAAGTGTCTATAGCTATATAGTCTGATATGTGCTATAATAAGAATTTGGAAAAAGTATTATTGGTTCACAAAGGCAGAAGTTTAGGAGGTTAGATACATTTAAAGTAAAATTTGATTAAAAAGTGTGAACTTAAATAGATTAAGATAACATGGGGTGTTTGTAAAATATATTAGTAAAATACAATGACATACCCAAAGTCCTGTTAAAGCACATTAAATATGGCCTGAGAAAAATGCCATACTTCTATATTTCAGTCCTTGTGAATGAACTGCAACCTAACTCAATAGGTACACAAGACTAAAACCTAACTTAGGAATATGCGCCTGTAACAATCGCTGAGTCTTGGCCAATTCCAGCAGCCATACTTCAACTAGTGGCGTACAGCTGAGTGTTCAAATAAGGCAAGTGCCAAGCTGTAACCAATCCAGCTGTTTCTGTACCTCACTTCTGATTTCTATACGTCACTTTACTTTGTGTTGTCTATAAATTCATTCTGACCATGAGACACCCCTGGAGTCTCTCTGAATCTGCTGTGATTGTGGGGGCTTTCCAATTTATCAATCATTCATTACTCAATTAAACTGTAAATTTATTTTGGCTGAAGGTGTTTTTTTTTGTTTTGTTTTGTTTTTTAGCAGTCCTCACCATAATGATCCATACATGTAAGTGTCTAATATAATCTTTCTAGCTTTCTTTTTTGGTTGTGTTTAGTCATACTGTTGCTGATTCAGCTTTGTATAAAATGTCGGAGCAAAATGGCTATCAATAATATAGAGATCTGCAAGAATTCCCACACAGGTGAAATATGCATGGTGGAAAGAGGCAATTCTTAAGGCAAAGAGCCAAGCATGTACCAAACACCAATGCCCTTGCATACCAAAGCTAAAGATTCTACAATTTGCCAAAGATAAGAATGTACCTTTCACAACAGCAAGGACCTCATATATTGTCTTATTATATATCCCTAAAATCTAGCACAGTGTTGAATAAGAGGAAGTAGAAATAATTTTGAGAAGGAATTAAACATGTATTTGTAGAAGTCAAGTCTTACCCATTGAAAAAATATCTCCCCCATATTTGTAATTCATTAAATTGTTTGGAAGGGAAAAGAAACTAAAGGGAATACTCCATAGAGAAAGTTGTTTCAGAAATTATGTAAATTTATTCTAATAACTAAGAAATAGTGAAAATGTATTACAAAGGTTAGGTAGAGGCACATTTCAGATTTAGACTAAGGTGCAAATGGCTTTCTACTTAATGATAGAGAAAAGCATAAATAAAAGTACATTGTATACATGAAATGGTTTTGTTTGAATTGGGTATAGAATATCAAATGAGAAATATATAGTAAGGAATTGAATATATGGAAATACAGATATAGACGGCCAGAGCACCTACTTGTAGCTCTTGATAGCAGAATTATCAGTCAACTGAAAAGATATTTTAAGACCTCCAAGAATAAGTAGATAATTTCTATTCTGTATTTTGTTAATGAAAGAAAACTAGGGTAATAACTGCTTGAATTTTCATCACTAGCATGTTTCCTACATACATAAACATAGTGAGTAGTGAGTATATTCACATATAAAGTAACAAAGAATTATAGTAAACCCCAACATCCAATCGGGAAAAATGTTGTAACTCTATATATTCATTAAATTGTTCACAAACTGACATCTTTTAGCATATAATATGGTTTCCTTTAGCTTGTTAAAGAGCATGGACTCATGACTAAAACATAAGAACACCCAATGAAGTTCAACTAAATCAATTCAACTATGAAAAATAAACTGACTAGTGATCATCTCTTTATTATTATTGAAAGAATAACTTACAAGTAAAAACATTCAATTTTTGAAAACAGCTTTATATTTATTGAATTTATGCATATAACGTTAGTTGCGTTTCAAAATAAAATGGCTGCCTTAAAAGTCATGCAAAATTACATATTTATACATTCTCTGAATTAAGCAGGATTAATTGAAAAGTGGTTATGAAGGCATGACTGCAAGCTACAAATTGAGCCTATTTTTAGTAACTTGCTCTAGCTGAGATGTTATATGTTCAGATTTGTTGACACGAAGCTTTATTGAGAAGCATTACTTATTCCCAATAACTCAAGGAGGAGCCTGTTTTGGGAGGAAAAACCACATCAAGTATGTTTTGTTGAATCAAGAGGATTTTATTTTTAGAAAACTACTAATGATTTTTTCTGAAAACGTGACTATTTTGAAATCTAAAAAAATCAAATATTTGATACTTAACATAATTTGCAACTTGACATAAAACTACTCAGTTTAGTTGGTCATAATATACTCATTCCTAACTTATTCCACTTTACAAAAAAAGTAAAAGAAAAGCATAAATAAATAAGTAAGGAAAGAGAAACAAACAAACAAAAAACATTGGAAACGGACTAGGTAAAAATTTATAGAATCAAGGATTAATTTCCACCAATTATGGCATGAATAAAACCAATCAACTAAAATATATTTTAAAAATCAAGAAGACAGTAGGAAAACAGCCTCTGAGGACCCCTGGAACAGTAATTAGGTGGGCACTCTGTGCCTGTTGGACATTACCATTTTCTTTAATGTTTGTATGAAACGACGCCAATTTATCTTTAAACAATTTATCTTTAAGTTGCTAAGGTGATGCAAACAGCTGTCATGTAACAATCACCAAGAGAGGACCCATTCTAGTTCACAAACTGCCCTGATGCTTTTTATAAAAAACAATCCACTTCAGGATAATGTGTTGTTCCTGGTTTCTATGTCTCTTTAACTTCTTTAAATCAGAAGCATTCCATAGTCCTTCTTCACCCTTCATAGCATCCTAAACATTTTTTGAAGGTAATATTCCAATGGATTCTATTTTTAGAATGTCTCCCAATTTCGATTTGTCTGGTGTTTTCTCATAATGAGGTGTCAAGACATGCATTATTGGCAATAAAATCACCAACATGGTGCTATGCTCTTCTTATCATATTTCTTCAGGTTATATATGAAATTAATTTTTCCCATCAGTGGTGATTTTAATTTTGATCATTTGAAAGGTAATGTCTTCCAGATTTCTCTATTGCAGAGGTACTCCTCATTTTCTTTATATTAATATAACATGACATGAAATGATATTTTATATATAGACTATCTATTGTATACATGTATATATACATGTAATTAATCTAAAATTAAGTGTTTTGTGGAGAGATACATTTCTTCTCCAACATTTACCCACTAGGTTTAGCATCCATTGATGCCTCAACACTCAATCAAATTACAATGTGAAGATTTTCAAATGATAATTTTTTAACATACAATATCAACCCTTTTCCTTTTATTGGTTGGCACTCTGTGGGAAAATAATAGTGTTTCCTTCTTTTATTCATTCATTAATTCATGGGTTTATCTCACGTGGACCCATGGATTCCTATTTCTTTCAGTGGCCCATGATCTGTTCCTTTACTTATTTTATTGATTCAGTTTTGCTAATTTTGCTAGTAGGAACTATTCAAGTTTCTCAGCTCTTTTAACATGCCTTTCTTAGCATTTGAGCACTCCCTTATTTTCCTTGTTTTTTTTTTTAAATCTCAGATTATGAATGGTCATTGCAAATCTATCAAAATATAATGGATTTCTGTATATTATTATTATATCCTGTGATCTAGATAAACACACAATTTTACTAACTTTTTTGCAAATCTTTTTTATTTTCTGCACAGAATATAATAATATCTGTGAAGAAAGACATCTTTCTTTCTAAATTGTATGTATTCTTACCTCTCTCAATGCATTGCTAAGACGTGTAGTATAAGCTTCAAAAGAATTTATCAGAGCAAGCATGCTTGTCTTTTTCTAGGTATCAGGGCAAAAATATTCAGTCACCTTAATGTTATTGGAAAGTTAAGGTACATAGTATAAACCTTAGAGCACCTAACAGGACAAAATAAGCAAAAACATATGACTAATAATCTTATTAATTGAAATAAAATAAAATTCAAAATTAAACACTTAATCCAAGATAAAGCATCAAAAGTGGAAAATAGTAATAAAGAACAGATTAAATTTTATGGAAAATAAATTTTATGATAGTAGATTTAAGGCCAAAATATAGATAACAATATTAAATATAAGTAGTCTAAAACTACTATTTAAAGTAAGAATTTTAAGACTAAATTTAAAAAGTAATGTTAAATCAATATAAAGACAAAGATTGGTCAGAAAAAATAGGTTGAAGATAGCTGTACTTCACCATGATACAGTAAGAGGAACTAAACTAAATTCTTTACAAAACAAACAAACAAAAAACAAAAACACACACACACAAATAAAAACTAACTGCAGACAAAATATAATCAACAATGATTTTTTAACCATTGACAAGAAGCTGAGGATGCTGATCCCTGACAAAAGAAAAAATAAAATCTGACTTATCCCAAGCTTTCTCTCAGTTTCCAGAAGACACAGTGAAAGGATAATCCAAAGAAAGGATAACTCTCCCTGTATGTTGAGAAATTGAAGATTGGGGCTTAGAAAGGAAAATTTAGCTAGAATTGCAGAGGTAAATAGAAGAGAGAGAGCATTTGCACAGAGATGGTGATATGGTATGGCTTTGTCCCCACCCACATCTCATCTTGAATTCCCATGTGTTGTGGGAGGGACCAGGTGGGAGATAATTGAATCATGGTGGCAGGCCATCCCATCCTCATGATAGTGAATAAGTCCCACAAGATCTTATGGTTAAAGAAGAGGGAGTTTTTCTGAACAAGCTCTCTCTTTGCCTGCCGCCATCCATGTAAGATGTGACTTGCTCTTCCTGGCCATCTGCCATGATTGTGAGGTTTTCCCAGCCATGTGGAAACATAAGTCCATTAAACCTCTTTCTTTTGTAAATTTCCCAGGCTGGGGTATATCTTTATCAGTAGCATAAAAATGGATGAATACAGGAATATAGGAAGTGTCTGCTTTTTCCTGGCTTTTATCTTTGCCTGTAACATTCCACCCCAGAGACTCACATGGCTTCTCCTTTCTCTTCAAGTCTTGCTAATCATTCCTTGTTGATTCCTTAAAATCAACACATATAAATGTGTATCCCTTTCTTAAGCAAGAGATCCCTTTCATCCTTTACCTTTCTGTATTTGTTAGTAGAATTAACCATCTGCTAGTATACTATAAAATTTACTTATGTATTATATATATTATCTTTTCTAGTGATATAATTTGGCTCCATTCCCACACAAAATCTCATCTTGAATTATAATCAGATTTATAATCCCCATGTGTTGGGGGAGGGATCTCCGGGAGGTGATTAGATCATGGGGTGGTTCTCCCATGTTGTTCTCGTGATAGTGAGTGAGTTCTCATGAGATTTGGTGGTTTTATAAAAAGCTTTTACCCCCTTCACTCTGCACTTTTCCTTCCTGCCACAATGTGCAGAAGGACATGGTTTGCTTCCCCTTCTGGCATGATTGTAAGTTTTCTGAGGCTTCCCCAGACCTGCAGAATTCTGAGTCAATTAAGCCTCTTTCCTTTATATATTAACCAGCATCTAGCAGCTCTTTATAGCAGTGTGAGAACGGACCAATACAACAAGTGAACAGGTATTTTTGCTTATTGTCCATTGTCAAAACCACTTATTTATTTTTACATTGACTATTGTCTATCTTCTATGGTTTGTTACCTCCAACAATAAGGTAATCAAGGGTCAAAATTTTTTGTTTATCCAGTAAAATGCTCTCAGTGAATTGGGCATTGGGTGGCACAGAGTATTTAATGTATCTATTAATTTTGTATATAAATGAATAAATTTTCTAAATTTTGCTAATAATGTTAATAGAAGACCCAAAAAGTATAATCAGTAAATTAGTTGTATTTTGAAGAAAAAAAAGTTAATCTATGTAACAAATTATTGTAAAAATTCTCAGGATATACACTTGAGTAATAATCACTGTAACATTTACCTATTTAAAAAGAATGAAATTTAACAGTGAAGGCACCTGAGTCTGGAATTTGTTTCCCCTAAGAAGGTATTAAATTAAAATTCAGTATCTTTAATAAATCTAAAGATATGAAGAAATTTTATTTATTCTAGAGTAATTGTAAAGATTATTTTGCTAACCATACAATTTATTCAACCATTATCAAATTTATTGGCATAAAGTTTTTATAATTTAAGTTATTATCATTTAGATATTTGTAGTATCTTTACAACACCCACCATCTTCCCAACCTTGCCCACTTTATTTCCTGAAAGTGCTTGCTGACAGATTTCTGTCTTTGTATCTTTCTCAGACTATCTAGAATTTAATTCAGTTTATTCCTTTTATCAAAGAATCCGTTTTAAATTTCATCTTTTCCTTTTGTATTTCTGTTATGTCTTTATAAAATTTTAGTTTTTCTCTATATTTTACTTTCTACTTCTTGTTTAATTTGGTTTTCTTTTCACTTTTTCAGGTAGACATTTGTGTCATTAATTTTAGACATTTCTCCTTTTTCTAATACAAACATTAAAAACTTCGTATTTCTCCAAAGGAATCCTGAAGTTGTAGTGTTTTTATTTTTATCCAGACCAAAATACTTTCTAATTTATCTTTTGATTTACTATTTGCTACAAGGCATCATTAGAAGTTTATTATATCTAAATATTTGGGGATTTCATTGTAGTTTTGGTTTTGTTTTTTATTTTAAATTTAATTCTATTGGGTCAGAGAACATACTCTCCATGATCTAATCCTGTTAAATTTGTTGAAACTTTATTATTTGTTACCTAACATGTGATGAATGTCAGTGCACTTGGAAAATAAAATAAGTTTTTGCTGGTGATGAATATAATATTCCATGCATCCTAGAACTTGTTAGGTTATAATGTCATTGAATTTGTAGATATTTTCTTTAAAATTTTTTATTTACTTGTTTAATAATATCAGAAAATAGTTTTCAAATCTTTAAATATATTGTGGATTTGTATATTTTTCTTCTCAATTCTGTAAGTTTTTGTCTTGAATATTTTAAATGCATAATTGTTTGTTAATGTGTGAAAAAACATTTTGCATTATCAGGTTCTCTTGATGAATTGGACCAATTATATTGATCTTTATCCTGCTAAAAATATTTCTTGATTTGTGGCCCATTTTGTCTGATATTAATAGAAGTCTTCAGTTTTTATATACTTAGTGTTTATACCATAGAAACACTGCCATCCTCTTATCTTAAAAGGGTCCAGAAATTTGAACTTTCATGTAAAATATTTTCAATATTAATTTATAATATTTTATAACATTACATAGTAATTTTGAAAAAATATTTGTTATTTATATAAAAAGCCTACTGAGATTTGGACTGATATTGCAATTAATCTAGAAATCAATTTAGTAGAACTACCTTCTTAACACTATAAAGCATTCAAATTATTGAACTTGGTTTATCTCTCCATTTATTTAGGTCTGCCTTAATGTCTCTCAGCACTGTATTGCAGTTTTCTAAGTATCAAACAGAATGGTTCATAGTGGATATTTTTGCATTCTTTCTTATAGTAGGAGGAACCATTTGGTATTTCACTATATTAACTATTTTTATATATGTTTATTACTTTTGAAATAATTTGTTTCTCTTGCCTACTTTTCTGTAAGTCTTTATTATGAATATGTGTGAAATGTCATCAAATGCTTTTCTACTTTTAATAAAATAATCCTATACAAATTTTTTAAATCAAAATGTAGATCTGTAGTTTTCTGTTAATCTCTACCTATTTTTTTCCTTTAAGGGTAATCTGTACCTCATATAATGTACTGTTAGGGTTGCTTCCTCTTTTATTTCTGAAAGACTTTGCATAGAATTGTTACTATTTATTCTTTAAAGATTGTGAGAATACAAGAGTGAAACCTTCCTGACCTGGAATTATTTTGTATGTGAGTTTCAAATTATAGATTTAATGTATTTAATAGATGCAGGATTATTCATGGTGTCTCTTTATTTTTAAGTGAATTTTGTAACCTCTTTTCTCTCAAGTAATGTGTCCGTTTACCAAACTTTTAAAATGTATTTGCATAAAGTTTAAACATTGTGTGCTTACTATCATTTTATAACCTGTAGTATAATTAGTGACAGTCTTTCATTACTGGCTTTAGTATTTAGTATTTTTTCTCTTTTTTGTTGAGTATAGCTAGAATTTTTTCATTTTTTAATAAATGAGCTTTTTATTTTATTGATATTCCATTTTGGTGTTCTTTCAATTTTTATTGATTTTTGTTCTTATATGTATTTTATTATTTCTTTGTACCTTAGTACATTTTGACTGCAATAGAAAAATACCTTTTTGTTGTGGCTTATAAACAACATAATTTTATAATTTATAATAATATAAACTTATAACTTATAAATTTACTTCTCATAGATCTGGAGGCTGAGAGGTCTGAAATCAAGGCTCTCAAAGATTTGATGTCTGATGAGGGCCCATTTCCTGGTTCATAGATGGTTCCTTCTCTCTGCATCTTCACATAATGGAAAGAGCAAGGTAGCTCTCTGGGGTCTCTTATGTAAGAAAACTACTCATTTACTATCCTTAATGTAGTACTAATTTAGTACCCTTATAAAAGAGCCCCAGATCTCTACTTTCATGACCTAAGCCCCTCCCAAAAGACCCCATCTCCTAATAACATAAGTTTGGGAGTTAGGATTTCTACATAGGAAATTCGAGGAGACACAAACATTCAGACAACAGCATTCTGTTTTGTTTGGGTTTAATTTGCTTTAGGAACTGATTAGATTCTTTTTTCTTTTCTAACATAAACACATGGCACTATTACATTTATCTAATTCTTTATTTCTAAAAAATTTTTAATTATTATGGATACATAATAGTTGCACATATGTATGGGATACATATGCATACAAGCATATGACATACAATTATCAAATCAGGATTCTGATATTCATCACCTTAACTTGTATAGTTTCTTTGTGTTAATATTGTTTAGTTATCTTAATAAATTGACCCCTTTATAATCAGTGAGTATATTTTCTATCACTGGTCATATATTTCGTTCTGAAATATATTTAGTTTGACATTAATATAGTAACTCTAGTTTTCTATAAATTTTTGTTTGTACTACACACACAGATATCTATGTATTTATATTTACAGTAGAATTTTAGTAGACAGAATTAGATTTCTGATTTTTCATTGATGTGTATGAATGATTTACATGTAATGTAATGTGATTATGAATAAGCTTAGGTTTAAATATACCTTCTTGCTATGTTTTCTATTTATCTTATATGCTCCTTGTTCAATTTTTTATCCTTTTTTTACATTTTGTAGATTAGTTAAATATGTACTTCATTATTTTATGTTATTTCTACTATTGGTTTACTAATGTACTTTTTTTTAGGTTCTGCTTTAAGGTTTAAAATATAAATACTTCTGTTTTAAGGTTTAAAATATAAATACTTCTACTTTAAGTTTTAAAATATAAATACTTAACTCATCACAGCCTACTTTCAAATAACAGTATATCACTTGATATGCAGTATAATACATTGCCAGTTTTTTTCTGCAGACACACATATACTTCTCATAAAATTTTACTTCTGCCTTAGGACTCTTTCTTATAAATGACAATGGAGGGTGGCTGACAATGAAATTCTTTAGATTTTGTTCAGTGCTGAGACAACGTTGAGATGAGCAAATTACCTCTGGTGAAAAACTTAATGAGGAACTCTCTCGGGTCACACAAGGCACAAGTCTTGCACTCTCAATCTCAAATATATAACTCTGAAAGTGAGTAGCTCTTTAGGTTTTGGGACCTAGTTGTGTCATTTACTTTACCCTAGTTCCAAACCTATTTTTAATTTTCTAAAAATAAACGAGCCCTATTTTACTTTAGTGCTTAAAATTTTCTACTTGTTATAAAAATGTAGATAAAGCTGTTTTTTATTATTTAATTATTTATGATTGCTCCATTGTCTCCAAGTTTTCATAGTTTCTGAAGAAAATTGCCCGTATTTGTGTGTGTGTGTGTGTGTGTATTTCTTTTGATGTGGATTATTTTGTCATCTCTGATGCCTTTTAAGATTTTTCTCTTTATCACTGATTTTCAGAAATTAGACAATAGTTTACCTTGCCATTTTGTCTTTATTTGTGATTCTAATAACATTTTGGCAATCATTTCTTCGTATTTTTGGTTTTGTTCTTCCCTACCACATACTCACACACAGACATCCACTCAGTGTTCTTCTGGGACTCCATCTCTTCTTGTATTATGCTGCTTGATATTGTCCAACACAGTGTGGTTGTTTTTTCAAATGTGTCTATGTTTTCTGTTTTGGATAGTTTATATTGTTATGTTATCAAAATCACTGGTATTTTTTCTACAATGGTTAAAGTGCTGTTAAATTTATTCATACATTTTTAATCTAATATACTTATTTTTTCTGTTTTAGGAGTCTGCTTGTTTTTATTTCTTCCATTTTTATTTTCTCATAATATACATATTTTCCCATCTTATTTGAAAAAATAAAGCATATTTTTAACAACTGAATTAACATGTTTCAACACTAATTATTATGTTCATCAAAACCAGATATTGTGAATTCTATATTGTTATGTGATGGATTTTGTTGAATTCCTTTTGTATATTTGTATTTTGTTCTCAAACACAGTTAAATTATTTGGAATCAGTTTGATGCTTTTAGAGATTGCTATAAAATTTTCTTAGAGAAGATGTAGAGTTGCTTTAGGTTTAGGAATGAGTGAGTTCCATCACAAAAGCAGGATTCTTCCAAAGATTCTACCTAATAGCTCATATATTACCCTGTCTTCTACTTTGGTTTGTGGCAACAATAATATTTGCAGAGTTTTCTTGAGCTTTGAGAATTGTTCTTCAAACCCTTTGTGTTGGCATTTTACCCCAGGCTTCTGTTATTTTCTCTCATGTATTCACAGTTTAGTATTCAATGAAGGACTCAATAATTTCCTAGGAAGGTCTGCAGACACACGGTCATCTGTATTCATTAGCATGGGCTGCTATAACAAAATGCCATAGACTGAGCAGCTTATAAACCACAGAGATGTATTTCTCAGTCTAACCTCACATGGTGGAAGAGGGAGGGGTCTCTCTGGCACCTTTCATAAGGGCTCCACTCCCATGATCCAGTCACCTACCAAATTGCCCATTTTTTACTATTATCACCTTGGTGGTGAGAATTTTAATATACAAATTTGGGGAGGTCAATTAGACCAGAGCATAATTCTTGGCAGATAAAAGAAGCCATAAGAAAGCTGGTGTGATAAGACCAGAATGAGCCAGAGGGAAGTTTTAAGGTACAATAAAATATTAGGCTAGACTATTAAAGTACTTTGTCATTAGAAATTACATCTTTCAGATGAAATCTACCCAATCCTTGCTTGTACATCTTGCTAAAGTTTTAGCTTTTCCATTGATTTCATTATATTTGTCATGTCTTTCCTATCAATTTAATTTTCAATTATCTTCACTTCTTATACATACTGCTATATATTATTTAATCATTCTGCCTTAAATTATTTTGTGTACAGTTATAATACTTCAGCCTAGTTTACTAGGAACTCATTACAGTTGTTCCCCTGTATTTGTGGGGTACTGGTTCTAGGAACCCTCAGACACAAAAATCTACAGATGCTCAAGACCCTTCCATAAAATGATGTATAATAGTATTTTATACACCTACATCCACACTGTCACATACTTTAAATCATCTCTAGATTTCTTATGATACCAAGTACAATGTAAATGTTATGTAGGTAGTTATAGTGTGTTCTTTAGGGGATAATGACAAGGCAGAATTCCATATGTGTTCACTTTTTCATAAATGTTTTTCCAAATATTTTTGATCCATGGGTGGTTGAATCCACACATGCAGAACCTATGGATATGGAGGGTCCACTGTACTTTTTTCTATCCTCCTAACTACATATTGGTTTCTATTTTTGTCTTTATTAAATCTTAAATTGTAGTCATACTACAAATTTGATCTTTTCTATTGTTTCATTTTTTTCTATTTCTTGAACAGTATTCTGTTTCTGTTTCAATGCATTAGTATCCACTTATTTATGTTTACCAAAATATTATACAGTCAAATAATTCAGGAAGACTTTGAAAATTTAAAGTCAACAGATTTGTATTAGCCTCAATTATATCGTCTGTAATAAATCAGATTATCCTGTCATTAGGATTAAATATTAAAATCTATTTAAGACATCTTAAAGAATATTTGAGATATTATGTATACTTAATATGGATATTTGTTTTCTTCCCTTCATTTTCTGACTTATTTTAGCCTTTTCATTTGTATTGTTTTATGTACCTTACAGTTACATAAACTCCTTAGTATCTGGAAACTTGTCTTCTTATTTTAATGTGCCATTCATCTCCTTAGCACAATTTCTTACACATATATGTTCTACAAATGTTTATTAAATGAATTAGTGTCAACTACATGCATGCTTTATTCATTAAGCTGTCAAAGGATTGATCTGCTTTACAGCTTTGTCAAACTATAGAACTTTAATTCTTTTGCCATACTTTAAAAATAATACATGTTTAGGTAATAATAAAATCAATATTCATACTCATAAAATAACAGATTGTAAAAGCATTGTAGGCTAACCACATACATTTTGGAAAAGAAACTGAAATTAATTCTTAAATTCTTTCAAATTCTTCATCTTATTTACTATTTTTGTAAAGTAAATGTTTATCTTGTATTTTAGTTTTAAGCTCTTAGAATCTTCAACAATATAGTTTTTTGTACATAAAATATTTAAATCAACTTAATCTATGTACATGTTATAAACTAAGTTCAAGTAAAATTACATAAAATGCAACAATGCATTTTATTTTTCTATTCATATTTTTCTAATAAATCTTGTAAGTTTAAGTAATTATTTTAGTTAACGCTATGAAATTCTACCTAGGCAGGTTAGGTGTTAATTTCCCAATTTGTATGCAAACTGAACAATTTTCTCTGCGCTCTTCATCATTTCATCTTTCCACTTAACTTTCTCTATTTTAACCAAATAATATTTATTGTATTTTGCCCCATTTAAACTAATGAATAAAAATTTCCCTCAGTGTAAACTCTATGTTGATGTTTCAAATAGAATATTTTATTCCCTGTGTGTTTTGAGTAGTAGCACCTTTAATGTTTTATCTATTTATATTTGTACAAGGCATATTACACATCTGAAATGAACACAGTACTAATTAGCATAAAGTCAATGTTAGCCTTAGACTTTACAGGTAAGTCTACAGAATACAGAAAGAAAAAATATAATGTCATATGTACTTCTTAAACAGTTGTATCAGTGGAAAAACTGATGATGCATTCATGTTTTCCTCAATATTTAGTGAGGAGAGCAAAAATGAGTAATAAGAAGGCAAGAAAAAATATCCACTGCATGACTGTAACAGGCACTAGATGATGAGGTCATAGAATGTATTCATCTTTATTTATTCAGAAATTAGCTCCATACCTAGCACATAAACACTCCCATCTCAGGTCTCAGTTCGCTTGTGCTTCTGTAACAAAATAGCTGAGACTGATAAGAACAGAAACTTGTTTCTCACAGTCCAGGAGGCTGAAAAGTTCAAAACCATGGTTCTGGCAGGTTTGGCACCAAGTGAGGTCCCAGTTTCTGCTTCTAAAATGGTAACTTGAATGCTGTGTCCTTACATTAGCTAGTTCCCTTCAGCCCTTTTGTAATGCACTAATCCCATCTATGAGTACAGAGTCCTCATGGCCTAATTACTCCTAAAGGCCTGACTTCTTAATACTATTGCATTGAGGATTAAGTTTCAAAATGGCTTTTAGAGGGGAGACAAACATTTAAGCTAAAGTATAATAATCCATAATTTTTGAATGAATGAACAAAAAGTCACTTGCATTTAAATGTGAAAAGGTAGATACTTTCGGTGTCAGTTATTTTCTGTACAATTGTGATTATTCCTCATAAAAATTCAGAGCAATCAGTTGGCTTTCAATTAAATTTACACATTAGTTATAAACATTTTAAATGTTAACTCTGTTTCTACCCTTCATGATATTTAATATGTATATTAATTTTACAAGAATTACTTAAATATTTTTCTTCCAATTTTCTAATTCTCTTTCCCTTGTTGAAATGAGCAAACACACAAAATATCAAGTGACAGATAATGCATTGCTAATGTCTTACTTTGGTAAGATATTTTCATTAGTATTTTAAATAGAACTGAGATTTTTATTTTTATATGTTTTTTAACCAAACCTGACTCATATTATAGATGATCTAAAGTATTAATGTAATACAAAACCATTGTATTTCTTGGCACAAAGAAAAAGCGTGGGTCATGTCAAACACCTGCAATGACAGTAAAATCATGTCACAAATAAGCTAATTATGTTGAAAAATGATTATGCACACACTATGTAAAGCATTGTCCTTTTCCTTTGTTGGAGGGCATTTATTCATAGACATCATGTATACTTTCTTCCCAAAGGGTAAGGTTGACCTAGAACCCTATGGACGACCCTTTATAGTTAAGCTTGCCAACTACTTGTCAGAAATGATTAGTGAGAAATGTAGGAAAGAAAATTTCCCCTGTTGATGACAGGGGGCAAATAGAAGATGCCCTGAAGTTGTCATAAGGAATCACATTTTTTTCAATAAGAATATTTTTTATTTGATAATATCTAATATCACAGATCAACCTTTATTTATACATATTCTAGACATGTGTTGAACTTGACAGGTTTTGGTAATAGAAAATTCTGTGGCAACTCACAAAAGAGTATGTGTGCATTGTAATCATTTTTATTATAAATAATAACTGTGTCTTTTTTTGATAAAATGAAGATATAATAAATCATGATTTCCCCTCAATCATATCTTTTAGAAACTGAGTTTATGTGTCTTTGGATTTATAATAATCCCAAACTCACATTTTATGTTAAAATACTCATTAAAATGCAATAATTTATTACAACTTTATTTTGGATTATATTCTGAATGTCTTACAACATGAAAGCTAAAGAGTGCTATACATTTTTTGAAACAGATTTATGTAAGCCTCACAGTCTGTATTATGAAATTATTAATGTTAGAGTAACATTTTGATCTACTAGATTCATAAAATTAATGAGAATTCTTCAGCTATTATTTTGAATCCTCTCCTTATATCTCTTAATAATACAGATAACACAGATTTGAGCTACAGGAAAATGTAATATGCATTGTGTTTGAACAAAGTGTGTTATAATTTTGGATGTACATCAACCTATACTGTATCCCTATGTTGTGTAAGACTGAATATCCTAGATCATATTGGATTATTACAGTCAATAATATTTTACATTAAACATCAAAAAATAATATGGCATTCATTTACAACCCAGAAAAATGAGTAACTCCCAGGAGAAATTTAGTTTTCATTGCTCCTTATGCTAACAACTTTAAAGTTCAAATGCTAACTTTCTATCTCCATTTTATTTAGAATGTATAATAAATCTTTCATGAAAAAAGATGAATTTCTTTTTTTTTTTTTTTTTTTTTTTTTTGAGATGGAGTGTCTCTCTGTCGCCCAGGCTGGAGTCCTGTGGCGCGATCTCGGCTCACTGCAAGCTCCACCTTGTGGGTTCACACCATTCTCCTGCCTCAGCCTCCCGAGTAGCTGGGACTACAGGCACCGGACACCACGCCCGGCTAATTTTTTTTGTATTTTTAGTAGAGGCGGGGTTTCACCGTGTTAGCCAGGATAGTCTCAATTTCCTGACCTCGTGATCTGCCCGCCTTGGCCTCCCAAAGTGCTGGGATTATAGGCGTGAGCCACCACGCCCGGCCTCTATTTTTGAAAGTTACCTTTTGTCATTTTTTTATCTGCAGTAGTGTGGATTAGAAACCTGGCTCAGTCCTACCACTAAAATAATTCTTAAAAGTTGGATGAAACATTAAAAAAATCTTGCTTTAGTGTCACAATGATCAGGCAAGAAGACAATAATTTTATGAAAATTAAGGTTTTACCTTGAGAGCATTCTCTGGTCTTGATAAGGATGAGGCCATGTTTCTTGGGACTGTAAAAAGCAGGGGACCAGAGACAAAGTTCAAAGTCCAGCCAAATTGGAAGTGTAGTAAGAGAACACTCTTACACTATTGGTGGGAGTGTAAATTAGTTCAACCATTGTGGAAGACAGTATGGTGATTCCTCAAGGATCTAGAACTAGAAATACCATTTGAGCCAGCAATCTTATTACTGGGTATATACTCAAAGGATTATAAATTATTCTACTCTAAAGACACAGGCACACGTATGTTTATTGCAGCACTATTTACAATAGCAAAGACTTGGAACCAACCCAAATGTCCATCAATGATAGACTGGATAAAGAAAATGTGGCACATATACACCATGGAATACTATGCAGCCATAAAAAAGGATGAGTTTGTGTCCTTTGCAGGGACATGGATGAAGCTGGAAGCCATCCCTCTCAGCAGACTAACACAGGAAAACCAAACACCACATGTTTTCATAAGTGGGAGTTGAACAATGAGAACACATGGTCACAGGGAGGGGATCATCAGGGAGGGGATCATCAGGGAGGGGCTGTAGGGGGCGGGGGCCTAGGGGAAGGATAACATTAGGAGAAATACCTAATGTAGGTGACGAGTTGAAGGGTGAAGCAAACCACCATGGCACATGTATACCTATGTAACAAAACTGCAGGTTCTGCACATGGACACAGGGAGAGGAACATTACACACCGGGACCTGTTGGGGGTGGAGGGCAAGGGGAGGGAGAGCATTAAGACAAATACCTGCATGTGGGGCTTAAAACCTAGATGACGGGTTGATAGGTGCAGCAAACAACCATGGCACATGTATACCTATGTAACAAACCTGTACGTTCTGCACATGTATTCCAGGACGTAAAGTGAAATATAAAAAAAAAAAAAGAATGCCCTTTTCTGGGGTTCTCACTAATATGACCTGTGTAACTTGAAAATCCTCAAGACAGAAATTTAAAGTGATCTCATTCTGTTTATAACCCTGGGCCCTTGGTACAAACAAATTTATATAATCCTTTTGGGAAACCTATTTCAATTCTATCCTAAAATTATTTGCATAAATATACTTCTATTAGTTAGGAATTGACAGTAAAACAAAACAAAACACACAGAGAAAGATGGTGCATGAAAAGAATATAGGAGGAAAACAGGGAGATAAAAGAATCACATGAAGAAAGACTCCAGATACTGGAATTATAAGAATGTATAACAAACAAGTTTGAATTAAGTAAGAATTAAAATGAATGATTTAAAAGTTTAATTCAAACAACGGTAAACACACAACTGACACATTCATAATATGTTAGAGATAGCTAAAGTGAGAATAACCACATAACGTAAAACATAGTTAAATTCACTTTGACTATTAAGAGATGTATAAAAATGAACAATAAAGAGAAAGGATTCAGTGATATGAAAGACAGAATGAAAATGACTATCATATATTAAACTGGAGTCTAATATATTCATTAGTGAGATTTACTGACATCCCTAATGAAAGACATCAAATTCTCAGATTCAGGAGAAATAAGACATTACACTCAAGATACATAAGATGAATCATTCCTCGGCACACCTAAGTTTTCATCATAAACTGTACCTTCAATCATCTTCATTCTTCCTGACCTGATCTATTTTTCTCATCGTATTTACCACCTTCAAACATATGGTACACATCCTAGTTACTTTGGGTATCTTATATTACAATATAATCTCAAAACAGATTTTGTTGATTTTATTTACAAGATGTAACCAAAGGGCCTAGATTATCTTTATAGCATAGTATATGTTCAAAATTTATTACCAAATAAATATAAAGTACATTTATGAAAGGTGAAGGAGAATATAAAACAGAGGGAAGATCTTCAGAACTACCACAACAAAATGACACATAACTTAAATGTCAAAATACCAACACTGACTTCTTATCAACAGCAATAAAAAGTAGGAAAAAATTTGGAAAATATCCTCAATGAGTTTAGACACACTTCTATACATTAGAGGTTTATAAAACACAAAAACTCCTTTTATAAATGAGTCAAAATAATGACATTTTAGACAAAGAATAACAGAAAATTTATCATCCAAAAGCACCTTCCAAAGAAACGTCAAAAGACAAATTTCAAACAAAGGAAAATGATCACAGATAAAAGATTTGGGATAAAATAAATAATAATGAGAAAAATAGAATATATATGGGAGGTATAAAAAAGAAAATAAAATTTACTTCAATACAAAATTGAAATGTGTAAAGATGTTTTGGTGGGGGTCTCCATTGCTCTTCAGCTTTGATTATTTAAAAAACTCTCAGAACTCAGAGAAGCAATTATACTCATGTTTACAGTTTATTAAAACAAAAGGATGCAGAGTCATATCAACAAAGGAAAAAGATTCTCAGGGCAAAGTCCAGGAGACTCCAGGCACAAACTTACAAGTGTCCATCACAGCAGAATCACATGCAGATACACTTCAGTCTCCCAGTAAAGCTGCATACAACCACATGTGAATTCTTGGCAATTAGAGCAGCTTATTTATTCTTTGATGTCCCAGGTTTTTATTGGTGGTTAATCACATAGGCATGCAATGCCCAAGTGGCAAAACTTGGCAAATTCAGCTTCCTTTCCATGATCCCTCTAGAACAAAACCAGGCATTCAGCATAAATCATATCTTAGAATAAACGTATCTGGTTAAATTGATACCACATGGTTCAAATAAATACAGCATGGCTCAGGGCCTCAGGCATATAAAGTCAGTCATTCACCATAAACCCAAGGCCTCAGATATACAAAAACACTCTTCACGGTAAGACTATTTCCAGAACTCAGAGGCTAGCTAGTCCTAAAAACAAACCTTACCTTTGAATGTGCAGGGTTGAAAAAACCCTGGGCTGCTGAGTTAACACATTCTTGCCTAATCCATATTTATTGTCCCTGGTCTAATCTCTCCTGTAGCAAAACAATCATATTTTTCTGAGCATCTACATTGAATATGGCATTTATATGACAGTAACAACAGTAATATTAACATGAATATGCCTAGCATTTTATGGACACAGTGTAGGGTAAAGATTGATTTTTAAAAATTACTAATGCATCCTACAAGCCCATTACATACACTTTAATATTTTGTACAAACAAAATTACTCATTCCTCCTCTCAATCTGCTTTTATTTTTACTTTTTGATAAATCTGTGCAGAACTATTTAGCATTGAAATTAGATAATGGTTAGCTGAATTCTGTTTTCTCAGACCATTTATTATTCACCCAGATTACATTCTGAAGAGGCTTTAACTCAATATCTTAATACATTTGATTATCAATATAAGCATTATATAACTTCTCTACATAAGATAGTTGAATCTTACCAACAATGCTAGTGTAATGTCATATTGCAGTATGATCATGTTACAATTCAGTTTTATTACAGAAAAAGTTATTACGAATGATAGAGCTATTTGTTACAGCTACTCAACATAATTGGTTCTTGTCTTTATACCGTATAGTATTATAAATAAGTGTTATTACTACTCACCATGATTTGATTATTTCTGGGTTTCTAATGGGTTGTGGACTTAGCCAGTCACCCTGTCTTAGTTCACAGGCCCTAATTGACAATGGTCTCTACTATATGCTGTCTTACACCAGGATACACTCCCTTCCTATAGACAAGACACAAGAATAAGAATAGTTTATATCTCTGCTACCTGTACTACAGGATGTCTTATCCTTATCTATTCTTGGGGCAATGGCAATAACAATGAATTAATATAAATTATGAGTGACCTCAGAGATGGGGTCCCTAAGATTATATAAATGTGTCCTTCTGCATCTAAGAAGAACCATTACCCTATGGTTATTTAGGCCTCCATCTGTGTTAAAGTGATAAAGTGATGCTATTGAGTCATAATACAAACTCATTACCAGTGTTGGGTCCTAGCATTATCCATCATTAATTGTTGAGTCTACCTTACCAAGTTCACTAAAACTTCATTACTTTTTCCAGGTTGAATCCCATCCCTTCCTCTCTCATAGGTGAGAATTCCCTCTAATCTATTTATTTTAGTTAATAAATCTTCTTTCCTTAAAAGCCATTCATGATTAAAAATGAATTCAGCTTTTCTCACAATGCCTAGATCAGCATCTATCTCCCTGAAGGTTTTTTTCTGTTTGTAGGCCAATGCTTAACCCAAGAGGGTTGTTGTCATTGTATACTAGATTTAACTGGAATGAGGAACCATGTTTTACACTCCAGACTGTTTGGTTCTCAGTATGAGGATAAAAATAAGAAAAAACAAAACAACAAACAAACAACAACAAAAAACAAGAGTTCTCTACAATTTTCGAGAAACAGAAGAGGAAGAAATGCTTCTCAATTCATTTTATGAAGCAAGCATGACACTTAAACAGAAGAAGACAAAGATGATAAAAAAAAAGAAAAGGAAAACAAACAAACAAAACTTTAGACCAACATAACCTAGATGCAAATCTACAAATATACCCTAGATGCAAAATCCTCGACAACTTGAATACGACACTATGTAAAAAAGTGACACATGACCAAGCCATGTTTATTCCAGAAATGCAAGACAGTTGCAATATTTTAAAAAATCTAATAATATAGTTCATCATATTAATATTCTAAAATAGGAGAATGCATGATCAGTTCAATAAATGCAGGGGAAAAAGACACTATTCAACAGTTACTTGTGATAAAAATTCAGCAAACCAGAAATAGCAGAAAATTCCTTCATCTTGATAAAGAGCATACAAAAAATCCATCATATTTAGCTGTGAAACACTGAATGTTTTCCACATGTATGCTCAGGAATAAAGCAAAGATGTTTGCTTTTATCACTCTTTTTCAACATAATACTTAGAGTTCTATCCAGTGTGTAAGGAAAAAAAGGAAGAATAAAATAAATGCAGACTGGAAAGAAATAAGTAAAACTGTTCCTATTTGTAAATAATATGATTACATATGTAGAAATTTATACAGCATTTAGGAGAGAGAAGGAATGTAGAAAAGGGAGAGGAAGGGGGAGGCAAAAACAAAGGGGAAGGAGAAAGTAAAAGAACAGTGGAAGGAGAAGCAGTGTCTCCTAAAATTAAGAAGGATTTAGCAAGATTAGGACAAAAGGTAAAAACAGGTTTCCTGATATTTTTAATTGCATTTCAATAGCTTTCCAAACATAAATATTTCTCAGGTAGTTGAATGCTTTGGTCAATTTCGAGAATGATG
The DNA here is from genome assembly GCF_000001405.40 of Homo sapiens. Lineage (NCBI taxonomy): Eukaryota > Metazoa > Chordata > Mammalia > Primates > Hominidae > Homo > Homo sapiens. The sequence goes on along the minus strand of NC_000009.12, from coordinate 67,802,518 downwards.
GAAGGCTGCTTTAATGAATTTCTAGTGGCCTTTTGTGCAGAGGATTTGCTGGTCTTTTCAAGTGACCATAGTCCACATTGATGGGTTGATTGAATATGGAAACCATCTTGAACTCCCAAGATAAACGCCAATTAGTAATGATATATTTTACAAACACACGTGCATGCACACACACACACACACAGACATGAGAGGATTTAATTGGATAATATTTTGCTGAAGTTTTTGAAATCTAAATTCATCATCAAAATACATATTTGTCTACAGGACATTTTCTTGTAATGTCTGTTTTATGGTTTTGGTATGGGGATAACGGTAGACTCATAAAACATGTTGAAAAGTGTTTCCTCTTATTAATTTGAAATACGTCCCATCAATACCTAATTTATTGAGAGTTTTTAGCATGAAGGGTTGTTGAATTTTGTCAAAGGCTTTTTCTGCATCTATTGAGATAATCGTGTGGTTTTTGTCTTTGGCTCTGTTTATATGCTGGATTACATTTATTGCTTTGTGTATATTGAACCAGCCTTGCATCCCAGGGATGAAGCCCACTTGATCATGGTGAATAAGCTTTCTGATGTGCTGCTGGATTCGTTTTGCCAGTATTTTATTGAGGATTTTTGCATCAATGTTCATCAAGGATATTGGTCTAAAATTCTCTTTTTTTATTGGGTCTCTGCCCAGCTTTGGTATCAGAATGATGCTGGCCTCATAAAAAGAGTTAGGGAGGATTCCCTCTTTTTCTATTGATTGGAATAGTTTCAGAAGGAATGGTACCAGTTCCTCCTTGTACCAAATGCTCATCATCACTGGCCATCAGAGAAATGCAAATCAAAACCACAATGAGATACCATCTCACACCAGTTAGAATGGCGATCATTAAAAAGTCAGGAAACAACAGGTGCTGGAGAGGATGTGGAGAAATAGGAACACTTTTACACTGTTGGTGGGACTGTAAACTAGTTCAACCATTGTGGAAGTCAGTGTGGCGATTCCTCAGGGATCTAGAACTGGAAATGCCATTTGACCCAGCCATCCCATTACTGGGTATATACCCAAAGGACTATAAATCATGCTGCTATAAAGACACATGCACATGTATGTTTATTGCGGCATTATTCACAATAGCAAAGACTTGGAACCAACCCAAATGTCCAACAATGATAGACTGGATTAAGAAAATGTGACACATATACACCATGGAATACTATGCAGCCATAAAAAATGATGAGTTCATGTCCTTTGTAGGAACATGGATGAAATTAGAAATCATCATTCTCAGTAAACTATCGCAAGAACAAAAAACCAAACACCGCATATTCTCACTCATAGGTGGGAATTGAACAATGAGATCACATGGACACAGGAAGGGGAATATCACACTCTGGGGACTGTTGTGGGGTGGGGGGAGTGGGGAGGGATAGCATTGGGAGATAAACCTAATTCTAGATGACGAGTTAGTGGGTGCAGCGCACCAGCATGGCACATGTATACATATGTAACTAACCTGCACAATGTGCACATGTACCCTAAAACTTAAAGTATAATAAAAAAAAAAGTACAAAGCAACCTCTTATTAAAAAAAAAAAAAGAAAAGTGTTTCCTCTTTTTTATTTCTTAAACTTTTGTGTAATGTATAAATTATATCTCCTTAAATATTAGTAAAATTTGTCAGTTCGTTTATCTAGGTGGGTATTAATAAATTTAAAACAGATATATAGGGATGTGCATTTTATTGCTTTCTTTTTGAGTTTGCCTTAGTTTGTATCTTTTGAGGGATTTATACACTTAATCTAAATTAACTAATTTACATTTATAAATTTCATCATGGTATTCATTTAGTTATCCTTAAACTGTTGTAGGACAATGGAAATGTTACTTCTATCATTCTTTTTTTGTTGTTTATTTGTTTTGAGACAGAGTCCCGTTCTGTCGCCCGGGCTTGAGTGCAGTGGCCTCATCTCTACTCACTGCAAATTCCACCTCCCAGCTTCAAGCAATTCTTGTGCCTCAGCCTCCCGAGTAGCTGGGAATACAGGCATGCGCCATCACGCTCGGCTAATTTTTGTATTTTTAGTAGAGACAGGGCTTCACTATGTTGGCCAGGCTGGTCTGGAACTCCTGACCTCAAACGATCCGCCTGCCTCGGCCTCCCAAAGTGCTGGGATCACAGGCATGAGCCACCACCCCCAGCCACTTCTGTCATTCTTAAAATTTGTAAATTATTTATTTCCTATTATTTTCTCCATAGTCTGGCCAGAGATTTAACAATTTTATTGATCCCTTCAAAGATCTAAATTTAGTTTAATTTACTTAGCTATATAATTTTTCTCCATTTAATGTTGTTTATTTCTTCATTAACCTTTATTATTTTCTTCTTTCTGATTGCTTCAGAATTAATTTGTTCTCATTTTTATAATAACAAGTTGGAAGCTTTCATCATAATTTCAAGGTAATTTTTCTTTTCTAATGCAAGCTCTTAATGGGATAGATTTTTCCCTAAACACAGAAATTTCCACATTTTGATATGTTATACTTTTTCAAATTTCTCTTACTTTTGGTTAGGTTCATGTTTAAATATACATATGTGCAAGAATATTTTCCCTTGATTTATATGGATTTAGAGGTTAAAAAAAGGCAAAAAAAATATTTTGGAAATTTCTAGGAGACTTAGTTCACCATAATTGTTACATAATTGTGCATATGTTGCAAGTAATGTATTGAGAAAAGTATTTATATCTGTATACATGTTTGGTCCTTAATGATGAAATTAATGCACAGTTGTCTAACTGTAATAATTTCCTTATAATCACACTAGTTTTCCTTTGGTGCCACAAGATGATGAATCTCACTTTAGTGTGACCAAGCAAAATGAGGTACAAAAACAGTCCAATCAATGTGAAAATATCTCAAATTCACAGGAATTTTAAAAATATTTTATATGTAAATTAAATTAGAAATTAAATATATATAATATATTTTATTTCAGAAATATTTGCTTGCCTTTTGGAACTCAAAGTTCAAAACCTTCTATTGTCATCTTTAAATAACTAGTTTTTAAGTTAATTTCTACTTGGTTCTATGAAAATACTACCACACAATGTGGAGATAAAGAAAACATTTACAGAAAAATTGTCCATATGGACACATTTTAAACAGATGATCTAATTAGCATCATAGCCACCAAACTGGTAAATAAACAGTTTTGTTCATTTGCTGCTTAATCAGCATCTATTCAGAATTCTGTAATATTGTTTAGTAAAACAGTTTATTTCCATCCATAAATGTATTTTATAAATTTATGCCCAGTAAACTTCCAGGTAAACCATCGAAATATTAACTGTTTTCTACAAGTGGTGGTCTTTTTTTTTAAGCTGGTTTCTATAATGAATTGATGAGAGTGAATGAAGATTAAAATGCTTATTCTGTAATAAAAGCCAATGCCAGCATGCCGATATATAATCTCTATAGATCAAAAAATATTCGGCCGGGCGCGGTGGCTCACGCCTGTAATCCCAGCACTTTGGGAGGCAGAGGCGGGCGGATCATGAGGTCAGGAGATCGAGACCATCCTGGCTAACGCGGTGAAACCCCGCCTCTACTAAAAATACAAAAAATTAGCCGGGCGTGGTGGCGGGCGCCTGTGGTCCCGGCTACTCGGGAGGCTGAGGCAGGAGAATGGCGTGAACCCGGGAGGCGGAGCTTGCAGTGAGCCGAGGTCGCGCCACTGCACTCCAGCCTGGGCGACAGAGCGAGACTCCGTCTCAAAAAAAAAAAAAAAAAAAAAAAAATATTCATGCCTTATTCTCAGATTTTTAATAGTGGCTCTAAGCAGTCTTAAAAATTTATTACTTAGACACCTTATCCTATATTTTAAAAATATTTTCTTAGTATACTGTGGATGTTATACAAGTCATATAATGGATAGAGAATTTCTTACATAAATTTACAATAAAATTTTTTTAAATAAAACTTTTGTGAAATTATTTTCAAATGTTATAAATGTTAATGAGTTTTGTTATATTGGTTCCAATATTTCTCATATATGGAAAATGTCATTTTCCCTGGGAATTAATATTTGGAACTGGTGTTTAAGAAAAACCATGTTTGATGTTGGAAAATGCTATGTCCGGTATAACTATAGATGTTTGGAAAGCAGCTCAGTTATGCTAAAGATAAAGAAAGGAGAGAAAAATGACAGAAGGGGAGGTTTGAACAAAACAAAATAATACCTGAAAATGTTGAATGGATATGTAATATTTGTGAATGTTTATGTTCTCTATTTCACCATTATTTAAACATTTATATTTTCAAAGGGAGACAATAATTATATTTTGAAATCATTTTATTTTTTTATAGAGTGCTGTATTTTTTCTTTTCAATTTCAATTTGGTAAGCAAACAAAATCAGTCAGAATATTATACATAATTAGGTTTCCTTTTTGAGATTTGTTGAAACTCTTTATCCTTTATGTATGTATTTCAAGTAGTATAATAAAAAAGAAATATAAAATGATTAGATATACATAAAAGTATTGTAGATTATGTTTTTCATATTTTCTTTCTTTTAATGTATTTTGCAGATATAGCCATTCCAGATTATGATTTCACAAACTAAGATGATTCTCAGTAGGGAAGCGTTACTGCATGTCGTTTTCATCAAAGGGAGCTTAGTTTATTTGCCTGTCTGAATATTGACATTATATTACTAATTTACACATTGGGGAAAGGGTCAAGAGAACTCCAAATTTTTGTTGACTTGATATTAACCTGAAAGGGGAATGTTAATAAATGACAAAATATATCCACAGTAGTTAGACATCAAGTTGTGTTTATTTTTTTAATCTACTGCATATTATTGAATTATTTAGATAGATAGATAGATAGATAGATAGATAGATAGATAGATAGATTGATTTATTAGATGTACAGGAAATAGAATTCACTGGTGGGCATGCGTAAAGAGGGGACAGCTCTTTTCTAATGCAGGGCTAGCTGCTTGTCCAGGGGCCCATGATTCCAGGGCTATATTTGGCCCCACAGCCATCCAGGATGAGTTGTTTCTCAGCCACCAAGTCTTAAAATGTATATGCATTAAACTTAGTAAAATCGCACTTCTTTGAGATGTGGCTTTTTGGGCATTCACTGAACTTGAATTTGGCCCTAAATAAGGCCTCAGTCACATGCTCCAGGGTTTGCAGCTTGGTATGGATGAACATGGCCAATGTGAACTCTGACCTCTGGGTCCTGAGGCTTTCCAAAGGCATACTACATCCGGTCTTAAACCTAGACTAGGGAAAGCACTAGATCCAAGACATAAATGTCCAATGGCAAAGGCTGTTGTACGCAAGGAACAGGCTGCTGTACACTACCTAGGATGATGCTGTTTGCAGCCCTTGCACACCAGGCCCCATGTGGCTTAATTGATTGTAGAAATTATTTTATATATTAAGTTTTTGGGGATTCATATCTTTTATTCAAGATAGCTAAATGTAATTTATATTAGACCATATACAGTAAGTTGTAAATTATAGAAGTTGTGCTTATCAAAATCATATTCAGTGGGCAATATGGCCTTTAATATAATGAAGTTTACTGATAAAAATTAAAATAAAATAATGTGGTTTTGTAGTGCTCTTGTATGTCAACTAAAACAAATTAACAAAACCTATTAAAACCCATAATCATTTAGACTATCTACTTACACTTTGGGAGGCCAAGGTGGGCAGATCACCTGAGGTCAGGAGTCAGGATTTCAAGACGAGCCTGGCCAACATAGTGACATCCCATCTTTACTAAAAACACAAAAATTAAACAGGCGTGGTGGTGCATGCCTGTAATTTCAGCTACTCAGGAGGCTGAGGCAGGGAGAACTGCTTGAACTTGGGAAGGGGAGGTTACAGTGAGCCAAGACTGGGCCACTGAACTCCAACCTGGGCGACAGAGGGAGACTCCATCTCAAAAACAAACAAACAAACAAACAAACAAAAACACAACAAAAAAACTATCTACTTAAATACCATTCTATTAAAATAAATATTTTTCTGTGATCTTAGGTTTGTTTTGTCTCAATAATATAAATAGTGTATTGGTTGTCTCAAAGTGTTAAATGGAAGCATATTTTATGGCATTGCTGAAATATCTACCAACTTTTCTTACTGTAAGTTATGCAATGGTGCATTGATTAATGCATTGGAACTTGTTAAGCAGTTTGCATGTCTGAAAAACCAAGGTTCAGAGGTATGTAGGTTAAATCCGGCAATCAAATATCAGAGAGATATTTCAGAATATTATTTTTGTGTACCAGAAAACACTTTTCAAAAAAAAAAAAAAAGTAAGGGCATTAGGAAGGCATTGTAAGGTTAATCTTTTCCAGCAAAGCTATTACATTTATTTTTCTGGAGTTCTTTAGTTATAAAAAGTAGAATGTAGTTATAGGATCTAGTCAGCATTAAATTGATTGAAAAAATGAAAAACACTGTTTCACTTTTAAATAGATTAACAATTAAGCAAGTTGTTTATGTTGTCCCACTGATATACTAGAATATGCTACATTCTTTTGGGCATCTTTTAGACCATAGGGCTAAAATGTTGAGAATGACAGAGAGACAATTAGGAGCTCAGCACAAAGCAAAATGTTATGAATCAGGAAAATAAATAGAACAGAGATCAAAATTAGATAGATGCAGAATTGGAATGATACTGAAAACAAGAGATGGAACTGCAGAAAATACTATGGCAGATCATTCATTCCTTTGAATGGTGAAAGTAGTTAATACAATGGCTAACAATTGAAATGGAAAACCAGACCCAGATGAAAAAATGCAAACCAGTAAACTTACCTAGTCCTATTATTTTACTCAATTGTAGGAAATACATGAAAAAAAAGTTGTTCATTATGAATCCTTTTTTCTAACATGGGAAGAAGTCACCACTAAACCTTTCTCATTTTTTTACTCAAATGTTTGTGTTTTCTCATAGAACTTATAATTTTAATTTATTTTTCAATATATGTTTCCCATACAGTCTAGTTGGATTCATAGTTGCGATGTTTCATGTGGTATATTTGCTCCCTATGGAACAGAACATAACATTAATCTTTAGATGTGTCACTAGAGAGACTTGTATATATCCACATAAATCTACAGTTGCAACTAGAAAAATTATCCTGTGAAAATTTTGTGACACGAATGTCTTTCAACTTTTTAAAAAGTAAAGAGAAAATGATGAACAAATATGAGTTGGAAATCAGAATGAACAAATCATGAAAATATAGTGTACCCCTTCAAAAATTTTGAAAATTAAGAGAAATCGGTAGAACAGCTGTATTATCATTTACAAAAATGTTTCTCTACCTATAGAACAAACAATTACTTTGTCCTCTAATTTCCAAATAACTTACAGAACATTTATTTCCTACTGTCACTGGAATGGCAGGCTGGCAGGCTGAGTTGGTAGCCCAATTGGTTCCTCACATCAAAAGATTCCCTTTATTATTTCCTTATTTTCTCTTTAATTCTGGCACTCCTTCATGATTGAACTTACAGATGTTCTTTTGTCTACTAATTTTCGAGTAAGCCTGTGCTCTCTATAACTTTCAGTCTCAATATCCTTCTACCATCAGCCTTTTGTCTAAACATTCTTATTCTGGTTTGTTTCCCTGAACTCTTGACATCAATCTCTGTTCCTTCAATATTCTGTTTCTTCTACTGGAAGCATTCTTTCCCAGATTTCACCCACTTTACTCTTCTCAATCTCTGTGTCTGAGTTAAATGCTTCCTTAGGTTTCTATGTAGGATTGTCTGTCCATCTGTAATTTTTCTATATCTCTCATGTTAACATACTTATATCCTTTACTGAAAAATGTCTCCTTTAAAAAAAAATCAATGTGTTTGTTTACTTTCTTAAAATGCCGTCTTAAACTGCAAGGTCAAAGAAGGTAAGTATGATATTTGGATATTAATATCTACCACTTAATACAGAAACTATTCTAGCACTTGTATAGGCAGTATAAGACATAATTTTAGAACTCTAAAATAAAAACTCATAAACTGAAGTTAAATATCCATTTCCCACTGCTATCTCCTTTTCCTTTTAACACATTGATATCATTTGGATCTGTGTCCCCACCCAAATCTCATGTCAAACTGTAAGTCCCACTGTTGGAGGTGGGGCCTGTTGGGAGGCAATTGGATCATCGGGCGGTTTCTCTTAAATGGTTTAGCACCATCTCCTTGGTGCTGTTCTTGTGACAGTGAGTGAGTTATTGTGAGTCTGGTTGTTAAAAGTGTATAGCACCTCCCCACCTCTCACTCTTCTTCCTGCTTCCAGCCATGTGAAGTGCTGGCTCCCCCTTCACCTTCTGCCATGATTGTTAGCTTACTGATGCCCCCGCAGAAGCCCAGCAGATGCATCATGCTTTCTGTATAACGTGCAGAACCATGAGCCAATTAAACTGCTTTTCTTTATAAATTACCCAGTCTCAGGTATTTCTTTAGAGCAATGTAAGAAAGGACTAATATAGAAAATTGGTAGAGGAATATGATATTGTTGTAAACATACCGGAAAATGTGAAAGTGGCTTTGAAACTGGATAGTGGGCAGAGATTGGAAGGGTTTGGAGAGATCAGAAGAAGACAGGAAGATGAGGGCAAGTTTTGAACTTACTAGAGTCTTGTTACATTGTTGTGACCAAGCTACTGATAGAGACTCACAATGAAGTCCAGGCTGAGGAGGTCTCAGATGGAGATAAGGAACTTAATGGGAACTGGAGCAAAGTTCACTTTAGTTAGGCATTAGCAAAAAGGTTGGCTGCACTGTGGGCCTGCCCTAGGGATCTGTGGAATTTTGAACTTGAGAGTATCTCAAGTTCTGGTGGGTATCTGGTGGAAAAAATTTCTAAGCAGCAAAGCATTCAGGAGGTAAGCTCACTACTTCTGACAAACTATTGTGATGTGTGTGAGCAAAGAAATGACCTCAAACTGAAACTTATATTTAGAAGGGAAGCAGAGTGTAGAAACTTGAAAAATTTGCAGCCTGGCCATGTGGTAGAACAAAAAGCCCATTTTCAGGAGAGAAATTCAAGCAAGCTGCAGAAACTTGCTTAACTAAAAGGAAGGCACATGCTGATAGCCAAGAAAATGAGGGATACCCTCCAGGGCATTTCAGAGACCTTTGTGGCAGCTCCTCCCATCACAGGCTCAGAGGACAACGAAGGAAGAATGGGACACTACTACATGCATCTCATCTGTTGCAGCTCTAGCCATGGCTCCAAGTGGCCCAGGTACAGCTCAGGATGCTGCTCCAGAGGGTTCAAGCCATAAGTCTTGATGGCTTCCATGTGGCATTAAGCCTGAGGGTGCACAGAGTACAAGAGTTGAGGCTAGATTTCAGAGAATGTATGAACAAACCTAGATGTACAGTCAGAAATCTGCTGCAGGGTCAGAGCCCTGATGGAGAATCTCTACGAGGGCACTGAAGAGGGGAAAGGTGGGGTTGGAGCCACCACACAGTGTCCCTACTAGACCACTATCTAGGGGAACTATGAGAAGAGGGACACTATCTTCCAGACCCCAGAATGGTAGATCCACCAGCACTTGTACCGTGTGCCTGGAAATGGTGCAAGCACTCAACACCAGCCCTTGAGAGCAGCTGTAGGAGCTGAACCCTGCAAAGTCACAGGAGTGGAGCAGCACAAGGCTTTGGGAGCTCACCCCTTGCAGTGGTATGCCCTGGATGGCGTCAAAGGAGATTGTTAAGCTTTAAGACTTAATAACTTTCCTACTGGGTTTCAGACTTGCATGGGGCCCGTAGCCCCTTACTTTTGGCCAATTTCTCCCTTTTGAAATGGGAGTATTTACCCAATCCCTGTACCCCCATTATACATTATATCTTGGGAGTTTTTTTTTTTTTTTTTTTAATTTTACAGGGTCTTAGGCAGAAGGGGCTTGCCTCATCTCAGATAAGACTTCAGACTTTGGATGTTTGAGTTAATGCTGAAGTGAGTTAAGACTTTGAGGGACTGATGGGAAGGCATGATTATATTTTGCAAACTGAGAAAGACAAAATTTGGGAGGGACTAGGGCAAAATAATATGGTTTGGATCTATGTCCCCAACCAAATCTCATGTCAAATTGAAATACCCAGTGTTGGAGGTGGGGCCTGATGGGAGGTTATTGGATTGTGGAGTGGTTTCTTTTTAATGGTTTAATACCATTTCCTTGGTGCTATTCTTATGATAGTGAGTGAGTGAGTTATTATGAAATCTGGTTGTTAAAAGGGTGTAGCACCTCCTCACCTCTCACTTTTCTTCCTGCTCCCAGCTATATGAAGCACCGGCTCCCTCTTCATTTTCCCACCATGGTTATACATTTCATGAGGCCTCCCCACATGCCCAGCAGATGCAACATTCTTTCTGTACAGCATGCAGAACTGTGAGTCAGTTAAACCTCTTTTCTTTATAAATTACCCAATCTCAGGTATTTCTTTATAGCAATGCAATAATGGACTAATACACACCTAATAATATTATTTCCTTGAATCACGCAATCAATTAACAAAATCCTCTGTGTGAAATGGCTGGCTTCCTTTTATTGGTGGTTAACTGCTAAACAATATTTTTGGCATTTCAATTTTGTTGTTATTATTGTTCAAAGCTTGTACAAAGCCTCCATCAAGTAGTCCAATTCTCCAGCTTCTGTCACTCCTGGACAACATTTGTATTTAAAAATACCTTTCAGCCAGGTGACACACACCTGTTGTCCCAGCTACTCAGGATGCTGAGGCGGGAGGAACACTTGAGCCCAGGAGTTCTGGGTTGTATGCACTATGCTGAGGAAGTGTCTGCACTAAGTTTGGCATCAATATGTTAGCTTCCAGGGAGCAGAGGACCACCAGGTTGCCTAAGGAGTGGTCAACTCAAAAATTGAGCAGAATAAAACTCCTCTGCTTATCAGTAGTGGGATGACCCCTTTGAATAGTCACTGCACTACAACCTGGGCAACATAGTGAGACCCTATTTCTTAACAAAAAAAAAGAAAGAACTACCTTCCATATTTCTGCAAGTATGTGAGTTATCTTTGATGTAGTGTTACCTTTTCGCAGTGAATGAAGTGTAATAACCTCTTGCTCATTTTGTTTACAAAAATAAATAAATAAATAAAAGCAGGGACATTCTAAGTGGAATCAAGTTCCAAGTAATACAGACTTAATACTATTTATAGAATAATTCAATTTTATGATATATTTCATGTGTTGCTATCCTCAGTTATATTTACTCATGTATAGTTACACTTGTCAATGTCCTAGCTATAATCACCTATTTTTAGATTTTAATAAATGTAATTAAATTAATAGCATTTCTATTTTTATAACAAGTTCTAAAAGTAAGCCACAGTAGAAAATTCATGATAAGATTAAGTTTGATTTTTATTTCACTTTTATATGTATGAATCTTAAGAATTTGGTATTTCCTATCTAATATTTGTCTTTCTGTTCTTGGAAACTAATTTCAAATTATTTACAAGTTTCAGAAGTATGCAGCCAGTGAAGAATCCAATATCATTTTGTTCAATATACCTATAATTTGAACTTAAATAAGTATACTTCCACAAATGTCACTGAAGCAAGTATTTCAAGTATTTATTTCCAGGTATAATTTCAATTATGGGGTATTCAGATATCTTGTTATATCAACAACTAAACATAATATATTAAATTATTTGAGATATAAAAAGTATATCTTGAAAACAGTGCAGTTGTAAATCTTTAAGGTAGGAAAGCAGCTCAGCAAATGTTTTCCTCCACTGTCCATGAGGCAAATGTCTAATGACTGTACACACACACTCACACTCACACACATACATACACATTCTGTCTCAAATATAGATATATATTCACACTCTGATTCAATGAATTCAACCTCATGACTAAGGATTTGAATAGATAGTGTTTTTTAACCTTCATCCTTTCCTCTACTGCAATTTATAATTGAATTAGCTTACTTATTTCCCAGTAAAAACATTCCAGCATTGTGATACTATGATAAGGTTAAGATGTGAAAGTGTTTTTTACCATTTATTATAGAAAAACTATCTTATTTTCAGATTTCTAAGAACCTTTTCAAATCCACCAAGGAAAAGTGTCTATGCCTTATAGATTGAAAAGCTCATCTTTACCAGTTAATTTACATTTTACTTTTTCCTAAAATATAAGGCTCTCCATATCTGTAGGTACACAGTTTGACTTAATTATCCTATGTTATATATTGTACATAATTATATGAGAGATAATGGCAATTTAAACAAATAAAATGATGGCTATTTCTTTTTATTAACTTCATCATATTTCACTGAGGTTTTCCTTACTTTAGGCTTCCTCGATGGCTGCAATGTATGCTAAAAGTAAATTTTTATGTGAAATGTTTAAAATATTTGAAAATGATGCTTATTGTTTGTCAGGTTTTGCCACTGTTAGCATGACTCAGTACCCATAGAGTCTGTCTCTTAGGGATGTGAAGCAAATGATTTCTCTGATCCAAAACATTTCATATGCCTTAAAAGTCAAACAATGCAAAGATGTGATATTTAGAATACTAGTTACATAATAATGGATAATGACTTAGCTTTTAAAACAACTGCTTTAAACATGACACATTTAAAGCTAATTTGTAACTTTCATATGTTTCTGAAACTTTTATAGTCACTAAATAATTTGAGTAAAGCAAATGGGTTTCAGACCGATTACAATTTGGAAAGATTGATTATAAATTTTTAATAATATGTAACAAAGAAAAATGTGGTCACTTGATTATATACCTCTTCCCCAAGATCAAGTAAATACTTTATCAATAGAAAAAAGAAAGAAAAGCAAAAAGAAAAGAAAAAGAAAGCAACACTGCTATACAGAACATTTTTTTTTCTAAATGGAATCCAGCAGCAAAAAAAAAGATAATTGAAGATACTATTAAAAGATACAATTTAATATTAATATTGACCACATTTATAAATTCACATAATTTTATAAAACATATGCACTTCTGAGTATAAAACACACATAATACAAAAAAGATTATTACATTTTAAATTGTTAAAATTTCCTCAATAGTTTTTCCACACCTGATGATTACTCTCAATCTCAACAAGATAATTATAAATGATGTTTATTATTCAAAATAGATTATTTTGTGTGTGTGTTTTATTCAATTAGGTGGTAAATTATAAGATTTTGCCAGGTGATTCAGAGAAGTAGCCTGGAAAAGTTTATATAGATGGTACTAAATGAAAGATAGAAAATTAAAAATTTATAGTTAAATTTATTAGAAACTTAAAATTCTTTAAAAAATTATAGTTAGGTAAATAAATCAACTAAATTTTTCCTTTTTCCTTCATATTGCAGAGTGTATTATTCCAGCCGGTTTACCGTGCAGGCTTCCCAATTTGATACTAATTTTAACCTGACTTTTATATATCAATATTAAAGAGACGAAAAATAAATGTGATTTTCTCCAGCTCTATATCCCTCCAAGGAGAGCTTTGGAACTGAAATCCTAATCAGGGGATACATTTTTAATATTTTTGTCTCAAATGAATTTGGAGTCCTCCATAGTATTTCCAAAGTTGCAGAGCAGAAAAGAGGTTACCAATAAAATTGGGTAGTTCTCATCCCAATTACAGAATTAGGCCAAGTTATCAGATATGCAACAAATATCCACTCAGAAAGATTGAATATTTAAATATTTTAATTTATGAAGTATTAGCCTATTGCTCAGTTAAAGTATTTTGGAAATTTTTCTTTAAAAAAATGTATCAAACTTGTGGTTAGATGACATTACTGACTCATTTTGCATCTGATCAAAACAAATAATGCATAAAACAAAGCAATGTAAGTTATAAAGCATTTTAAAATTGAAATAAGAGATCTTTATTTCTGTTGCATATCAAATGGAATTTATTGACTTCCTTTTCTCAAAAATGTCATATAGAAAACATTTCTACCCTCTAAAAATTACTAATAACATTAGCATCAATGACTTACAAGTAGACACAAGTAAGATGAAACACAGATTAACTCATACCATCAAATTCATATGGCCAAGTATAATCCCATTATATAACTATTTTCTATCACTAAGCATAGTCCAGCTATAAGTGTAAAAGGATGACGAAAAATGTTGCTAAAACATTAAGTGAAAATATACTGAAAAGAATCCCCAAAGACAAGAAATACAAGAACACACCAATTTGCCATCACACTTTATGTTCAGCCCTTTAGTGAAAAAAAAAAGTTTTCTAATTAATATTTCATTTACATTGGGGACAAGTACATAATGTAGTCATCAATTTGCTTAGATTCTGAAATACCATTCATTTATGTACATATTTTCTCTATTCAAATGTACTATTCACATCACTTGTCAATTTGCATATATTAAATCATCATGCAAAATTTACCATATTTTGAATATTTTATTAATAATGACCCTTTTCTACAATTTTTATATGCACTTAAATTTTAAACAGCCAAACATTCAAAGGCTTAAAAATCAACACTTGAATTTTAAAATACTATTTGTATGAAATGAAATATTTAATTACAAATGTTAACTATATGTTATTGCTGTAACTATTGGGATAGACAGTGGGCAGTTAGTATAAGCTACTTTGTTAATAAATAAAATTTTAAAAATAATCAATGGAATGTTCATTTCAAACTACTTTGTTATTTCATTTCATTTAAATTTAGCATAAACTTTACTTCGGCAGCCAATTCCTTAGTTGTTCTTCTCCATTAACTCATGACTACTTTAGCTCTTGATGCTAAGCATGATGATGTTTGGTTTCAGAAGTTGCCACATTAACAATAGGATCCTTCAAGCTACAATCATGCTAACCAATTTTGACAATTTTATATTTTATAGGGCCTAGTTCTAACATTCTATTGTTATTTAATTTTATAAATATTTTTTAAAATCTTGTTACTAAATTAAAAATAGACCTCTGGAAAATAAATCGAAAGGTTTTTTTGTTTTTTGTTTTTTGAGACAGAGTCTCACTCACTCTATCACTCAGGCTAGAGTGCAGCAGCCTGATCTTGGCTCACTGCAACCTCTGCTTCCTGGGTTCAAGCGATTCTGCTGCCTCAGTCTCCCAAGTACCTGAGAATACAGGTGCCCACAACCATGCCCGGATAATTTTTGTACTTTTAGTAGAGATGGGGTTTTGCCATGTTGGCCAGGCTGGTCTCAACTCCTGACCTACATGATCCACTCGTCTGGGCCTCCCAAAGTTCTGGGATTACAGGCATGAGCCACTATTCCCTGCCAAATTAAAAGTTTTTATATGAAAAAGATATACACAAAGCAAAGATACTTTTACAGTATGAAAGTGAATTATAATTGAGAAAAATATCTGCAGGCCATAATAGAATAGTTCTATTTCAATAGTTCGCAAACAATTTGTTAGTTCTGCTAAATAAAAAAATTTCCAACACTTGTTAAAATGGTTAAGGATCACTTTATTTAAGATTAAAATGATAGGTGTCAAGATGATTCTAACAGGCAAGAGAGATAAGGTTCAACTCTGAACACAGCAAAGATATCTGGGAAGTGCAGCTAATGAGCAGAGTGAAAAGTTGTCAATGAATACAAATTACTAAGAGGAGACATCAAGGGTAGGGGATTTCTTGTTAGCTAACGTAAGAGGATTCTTGCTGAAGGCAAGCCAGAGTGATCAGATATCAAGAGTGGGAGATTCTCTCTAAACTGACTTAGCAGCATTCTTGCAACAGCTGGACTAGGCAGTGTAAAGACAGGGCCCAAGGACAAAGTAGAGTCAAAAAGAGTGTTCCTAGAAGCCTGACTAAAGCGTAGACAAGAAGAAAGTCTTCATCAGTTCAAAAGTCACTTTCTATACTTATGATTTGGCCATGAGCATTCCTATCTTTACTTAGTTTGGAGGAGTGGACTCAGCAGCATGTATGTTATGGGAAAAAAAGAGATTTGGAAAAATTACTTACATAAGTTTGAAAGGCAAGATGAATCTGGCCATATGGTAAAATCCAACAGAACTCTTCTGGTTATGAGTAATTTGTAAAATAATTCATACATTGCCCATTATATGCGTTAGATATATGTAAATTTTACCATGCTTATTCTTCAGAACACAAAAAGTGAAATACAAAGGCAAACATGGTAAAGCAATTTATTTTAGTTTTTGTGAGTTGTTCTTCTAGAGTATGTTATATGACTCTATGCCCTCAGTTTGAAACTCTCATTGAACCATATCTAAATTAACTAATAAAATGAACTTTGAATTATATATGCCACTGTGTGCAAATTAACATTCATTGACTGTATGTGTATGTAAATATTGGCCAGTAAACAGAGCCATTTACATCTTCATAAAGAGAATAACACTTCCAACTAAAATTCCTTCTAAAATTGGACTCATATCAATTGGAAGTATTTCAAACAATTACTAAACTGATTTACTTGAACAAATATAGAAAATATTATCTAAGCTATGTGTACCTATTTTTTTATATTCCTAGAAATTAGGGGGAACTTTTATTTCCTTTGATTGAATATGAGTTTCTAACTTAACAAAATATATAATAGTGAGTCAGTAAAATGAATACTTTTACCAAAGATGGAAAGTGTTCTGAATTATCTAAAAGACATTTTCATTGCAGTTAACATTTGCCTGTGTAGATCAGATTAATATTAAAATCTATTTTTTTCTTTTAACAAAATTTAGCAAATGAGGAATTTTCTATTGGTTCATTTCTTCTGACATTTCTTCTATGTTGACCCTTCTCCCATTTCATGTTGCAAGATGTGAGATCTTACTTCATTTATCACATTCATATTCAAGGCAAACTAAATAGAATCGGGATGATAGGCTTGTACATTTATGCTTTTTTACAGAAACCTTTAGAGAAGTGTTCAGCTATACTGTATCTCACCTATAAAAGGTGGTTCACATTTCCAAATGGATAAAGGCTAGAAAAATCAAGAAAAAGAGCTGTCATGAGTATACGACAGCAAACATAATTTGGGGCTTAGACTCATGACCAAATTGAAGTTCTGTAAGTAAGAAATTAAGAGAAAATTAATATTGGGCAGGCAAAATCCATGTTGGTATATCCTTATGCATATAACTAGAAATATATTTCTAATTTTAATAAACTTACTTTCAAAAATGTATTCTGTGTTATTATACTTTAACATGTGTTCATTAACTGTGTGTGTTCCTAAACCTTGTCATATTTGGATATGATTTTTAGCAATAAATAGTGGGGCAAGATGGAAAATCTGAAGTTTTACAAAAACTAAATATAAGACAAAAACAATATATATTCAACTAAAAAGGAGTTGGCAACAAACTTCTCTGATTCTATATCAAATCCCAAAAAACAATGGAATATGTATCAGTAATTATTGACTACCATAGGGTAATAATAATAATAAATGGTCATAAAATAAATTAGTTAATGGAAAATGATAGATATTAATTATTGAATGATAAAGCACAATGTAAAACAAAATGATAGAAATAATCATACTCACAAACATAACAATCTGTATGTAGAAGTCTAGGTTTTCCAAATTAAAGCTGGTTACTCACAAAATCCTTGAAAAGAGTGAGAAGTTGGTGGGGTGATTATATTTTTAAGCTATGAAGTCAGATAGTGTGATGTTTCATCTCAGTACCACTATAAAATAAAGTTTTAATCCTGTTCATGTCACTCTTAATTTTCACTAGCTTTTTAGGTAAGGAAAATTCATGTCCATCCCTTCCTTGATTCATCTCTTTCAAAAGCAACATTTTAAATGGTTGATGACTTAACATCACTGCAACTATTTTCTCCTTCATTTAAGAACATAATCAACCATTTATGTGAGCATGTTTATTTTACACCTCAATTTTGGCTCAAGGAATATAACACATAGTGGTTTCTTTCTTTCATTTGCCATATCAAATCCATGAACACCTGCCTTTAAGATGTATCAGATTACTTTTACCTCTTACTAGCCATGTCCAGGCAACTGCCAAAGCACTGGATCATTGGAATAGCTTCATAAATGATGACCCTATTTCTCTCACTTTCATTCCTAGAGGCTGTTTTTCAGCCAGGAGTCAGAATGATTATAAAACATAAATCAAATAATTTCACAGTCTTGCTCATAGCTTTCTAATTGTTCCCCTTCTCAAAGTAAAACCCAAAACCTTGTCATTGTTTGTGAAAGCAACAATATGGGATCCTTCTCCATACCTCCCCCAATTTATTTTATCACAGCCCTCATTGTTTTGGTCATTCTATCCTTAAGAGCCTCCTGGTATTTCTTGGAAATGCCAAGATTCACCCACCTTAAAAACCACTTTGTTTTTCTGTCTTTGAAAGAGACACGCGCTGTAGATATTTGCTTGCTACTCTACTTACTTCTAGACATCTCAGCAGAATTCTTTTGAGAGGCAGACAGTCACTCGGATCTGCATTCAAATTTCACCCTAGAACTTATCCGCATGTTAATACTGCGTTTCTTTTTTTAATTTTTCACTGCCTTTCTCGCCCAAAAAGAAAGAACGTAAGCTCTTTTAGTCAGGGACAGCTATTTTTTTTCTGTTTTCTCTTTTTCTTAACCTGGCATGAAGACACATTTCTGGCATAGAGCAAATGAATAATAAATATTTGTTGAATAATCTTGCATAAGTTAATCCTTAATTTGTCAACTGTTGATTCATTTTGCTCTGAAATCAGTGACAATAAAAAAGAATTGTACTTCTATTTTGTACTTTTTTACTCAGAGTAAATATTTATTGAGATTTAATTTGTGCCCTGTAAACTGCTAAACTCCTAAATCCATTAGGTCTATTTCTCCCATGAGGTAAATATTTGCTCTTCATTGAGGATATAGCCAGCAAGGCAGAAACTAGTCTAGGACTTACAAACAATCTGATTTTATTATGTGGAGCAGGTAACATCAGGGTGAAAATAACTAAGAAACAAAGCAAGGAATAGTGATGAAAGTATTAGCACTAGCAGAGAACTAATCCTTTCCTCATGATAGTAAGGTCAATGGGAGAAACTAAAGTTCCAGAGATCCAGTAATGAGCCATTTCACAGTAGAATTACTGCTGGTGAGAAATGGGACCAGGGAGAAATATGACCTCTGATGTAGGTGTCATTAGAAGCAGAGAAAACAAACAAACAAAAACAGAAGTGGCCCTTCTCCTTGCCTTTTCCTGTCCTTCAATCTTTGGCTTTTGCCTTCCCTTGCCTGAATCTACCCAAAGACTAGATGACAAGGAAGCATGGGAAATGCAGATTTCTGTTACAGTGAAAAAATACAAGAAAACTGCTGAGGAAATTGATCTGAGAGCAAACAAACTTTGATCAGCATATTAATATTATCATGTCATTTTACAGATTAAAAAATTCAAGTTCAGGGTTCGGGCTCACACCTGTAATCCCAGCACTTTGGGAGGCCAAGGGGGTTAGATCACTGGGTCAGGAGATCGAGACCATCCTGGCTAACATGGTGAAATCCCGTCTCTATTAAAAATACAAAAAATTAGCCGGGCGTGGTGGTGGGCACCTGTAGTCCCAGCTACTCGGGAGGCTGAGGCAGGAGAATGGCGTGAACCTGGGAAGTGGAGCTGGCAGTGAGCCGAGATCGTGCTACTGCACTCCAGCCTGGGCTACAGAGCGAGACTCCATCTCAAAAAATAATAATAATAATAATTCAAGTTCAGAGAGATGAAACAACTTTTTAAGGCAATCAGACTACAGATCTAACTGTCATTTACACTAAAACATTTTAGGAAAACAAAATCATAATGCTTTTGTGGTATTTTGATATTTCAAGAAAAATAGTTATATGTTTCGGTGTGTGGCGTGTGTGTGTGTGTGTATAAAATGATTCTACATTAAATCAAAAATTTAACTTAAAATTTTAAAGATAGAGTAAGGGCTGATAATAGGTTTACCACCAATGCACATTTTCAAGCAGTTAAGTGATTCTAATTAGTAAGAAAAAAACCTAGCAGTCCGTACCTAGCATATGGGCTGGCATATAGTTGGCACTCAGTGACCGTCTTTTGAAAGTTATTATGCCCTTGAGGCTGTTACAATTCCAAAATGAGATGGAGCAAAGTTTGTGATAGTTGTGATTTCACTTATAATTCATTTATAGGTGTTGAATTCTCAGTAAGGATAATCCAGGTATTTCACTTCCATTTATCCTTTGTAACATTTACTTAATACACACTTTGTGCTCTTATCGAACTTTTCTGTTATATTTTTAAAAGGTTTATTTGCCCTCCAGGTTAACTGGAGAAATAGTGTTTTATTCAAAGTTATGAAGAAGGACTTCCTCATTCTATTATTTCTACACAAATATTTATTACAAATATATAGATTACTTAAGTAGCTACTTATCTGATGACTTACAAAATGATTTGAGAACAATTTAAAGTTACGTGGTGTGCTTTCTGTACACATAACCCACATACTAAGTAATTTATAAAAATCCATAAAATAGGAAATTAACTTAAAGGTCACTAGGCTCTCAGAAGAATAAATGACCTTTGATGCTGGAAATAACTTACTATTTTTTTCAGGTTTTGCATAATATATTATGTATCACTGTTCTCAAGATATTTCTTATAAAAATTAAAAGAAAACTCACACAGAATGAACTGTTATAAAATATGTAAAATTTTAGAAACTCTCATAATTATATGAATACTTAAAGCACTGCTCTGGAAAAATAATTGAAAGATAAAAGGATATTTATCTTAAATGGTAGTAATTTTCATGTTTATTTAAAATAAGCACAGATAAAATTCTGAAAAAAGAATGATAAAGTGAACTCAGAGTAGAAAAATCCTTTAGTAGTGAAATAACAGGTAAAACAGGACTAAAATCTTTTAAATAATGTACTTAACTTACTTAGTTTTGAAAATATCATCATCATGTATAAAAGGCCATTTTATGTCCAGAGCAATGTTGGCCTTGGTCTAAGCCAAAATTCTTAGTAGAGAGTTTTTAGAGTGTTTGCTGTGGTAACATGTGTTAAACTTTTTTCAATATAGCCAATTCAAAAATTTTAAGTAAAATGTATGTTAGCTCTATTCTTACCTGCCATGCCTCTCAGATCTTATATCCTTATCTTATAACATCTGGCTGCTCCGTGATGGCCATTAAATCCCTGCTAGGAATTAGGAATCCATTCCTGTTTCAGGGTCCTCTTCATCACCTTCAAATTATTTATGTACAGTGTACTTTTGAAGGCTATACACTTTATATTTTTAACATTTAAAAAACGAATATTGATGCTATTTATTCACAGCTAAGTATATACACATTTAAATATTAATCCAATATACATGTAATTGGTGCACATTACACGCTGAGTACTTTTCTAGGCCCTGAGGCTAGAGCTGGGCACAACGGAGACAAGTCCTTGCTTTGTGAAGCAGAAAACAGATGACTTCCAGTAAAGTGCTAAGTTGTGCTTGGGAAAAATAAAATTAGAAAAGCAGCTAGAAGGTGTACTGGAGATGACAAGAAACTGAGAAGAGAGGTTGCTGTTATATAGAAAGGGCGGAGAAGGCTTCTAGCAAAAAGCAGCATTTTACCAGCTATCTGAAGGATATGTGAAGCCCTAAGGTCTTTAATTAGAAATGCTTTACTTGCAAGAGCAACAAAATATAAAATATTGATAATTTTGACAACAAATAACTTAGGATTTTCTAAAGAAAAATGACAAACTAGGTTGGCACCATGGTCTCTCACTTGTTATTTATTTTAAGTCTAATTTCTCTACTTATATAAAGGATGCAATTTTTGTTTGGTATATGGTTTTACTCAATATATGAAGATATTGAGTAAATATCAATTATTATTACAACTTTTAAAAACAAAAACAAGGGACAAAAGATGAGATTTGACTAAATCGTGACCATGTTTTCTTAAATGAGTGTTATCGATACACATTTTTTTCCAAATTACTTTAGTAAGTTTTATAATTTTAAAACACCTTAATGCATTCTAATTCTCCTCATTTATTGGAGTTAATATTTACTTTAATTAATAAAATTTTAGTCTATTTTTCTCTTTTTCGAAGACCTTTAAAATATGGATTTCACATTTTCACAAGATAATTTTTAGAATTTTTGTAAATATCCAAATGGGGTGCTTTCCTATTGTTGGGATATTCCCTTTTACTAATACTGCTTTCATATTCTCCTTTCTGTAATGTATCTTAACTTCTTTTGTTGCAGAGAATGTGAACAATATCTGAAACTATACTATGGCCCTACAAAAGTTGTCATGTTGTCTATGCTAACTGTTGTGCTAATTTTACTCTTTCGGTAGTGCCTGGTATAAAGTTTGGGTCTATCATGGTGATGTACTGGTACCTTACATATACCTTTGCTATATTGCACTTCACATACTGCCTTTTTCACAAATTGAAGGTTTGTGGCAAGCCTGCATTGAGGAAGTCTACTAGAGCCACTTTGTTTACAGCATGTGCTCACTCCATGTCTCCGTGTCACATTTTGGTGATTCTCACAATATTGCAAGCTTTTTCACTATTATTATATCTGTTATGGTGATCTGTATTCAGTGATCTTTGATGTTGCTACTGTAATATGGGGAGAAACCACAAACCATACCTTTAAGAGATAGCAACTTAATCAATACATATTGTGTGTCTTCTGACTACTCCACTGAACAGAACTTCCCTGTCTCTCTCCCTCTCTTAGCGACTCCAATTTGTGAGACACAACAATAGTGAAATTAGGCCAGTTAATAACCTTATAATAGGCTCTAAGTGTTCAAGTGTAAGAAAGACTTTCATGTGTGTTATTTTAAATCAAAAGCCGGAAATACTTAAGCCTGGCAAGGAAGACATGTCAAAAGCCAACTTAGATCTAAAGCTAGAACTCTTGTTTTTAACAGTTAGCCAAGTTGTGAATGCAAAGAAAAAATTCTTGAAGGAAATCAAAACTGCGACTCCAGTGAACACAGGAACAATAAGAAAGAGAAACAGCCTTATTGCTGAGACTTGGAATGTTTTAGTGGTTTGGCCAGAAAGTCAAATCAGCTACAACATTATCTTCAGCCAAGACGCAATCTAGACCAAAGCTCTAATGTTCTTCAATTCTATGAAGGCTGAGAGAGGTAAGAGAAAACTGCAGAAGAAAAGTTGGAAGCTGACAAAGGTTGGTTCTTAAGGTAGAGGGAAAGGAGCCATCTTAACAACATAAAAGTGGAAAGTGAAACAGTAACTGCTGATGAAAAACCTTCAGCAAATTATTTAGAAAATTTAGCTAAAATAATTGATGAATGTGACTACGCTAAACAACAGATTTTCAATGTAGACAGAACAGTTTTATATTGAAAGAAGATTTCATCTAAGCCTTTCATAGCTAGAGGGGAGAAGTCAATGCCTGGCTTCAAAGCTTCAAATGACAGACTGACACTCTTGTTAGGGGTTAGTGCAGCTAGTGACTTTCAGTTGAAGCCAATGCTTATTTACCATTTGAAAATCCTAAGGCTAATAAGAATTATGCCAAATCTACTCTGCTTGTCTCTATAAATGAAGCAACAAAGCCTTTATGACAGAACACCTGTTTATAGCATGGTTTACTGAATACTTTAAGCCCACTGTTGAGACATACTGATCCAAATAAAAGATTCTCTTTCAAATATTACTGCTTGTGGACAATGTACGTGGTCACCCAAGAGCTCTGATGAACATATACAAGGACATTAATGTTGTTTCATGCAACCTAACACAACACCAATTCTGTAGCTCATGGATCAAGAAGCAATTTTGACTTTCAGGTCTTATAACTTAATATATACATTTTGTAAGGTTGTAGGTGTCATAGATAGTGATTCCTCTGATGGATCTGAAAAATCTTCTGGAAAAGATCCACCATTCTAGATACTATTAGGAACATTTGTGATTCATGGAAGAAAGCTAAAGTATCAACATTAGTAGGAGTTTAGAACAAGTTGCTTCCAACCCTCATGGATGACTTTGAGGGGTTCAAGACTTCAGAGGAGAAAGTAATTGCAGATGTAATGGAAATAGCAAGAGAACTAGGATTAAAAGTGGAGCCTAAAGATGTCACTGAATTGCTGCAATCTTGTAATATAACTAACAGATGAGCAGTTGCTTCTTATAGATGAACAAAGAAAGTGGTTTCTTGAGATGGAATCTATTCCTGGTGAAGATACTGTGAACATTATTGAAATAACAATGAGGATTTAGAATAGTCCCTAAATGTAATTGATAGAGCAATGGCAGGGCTTGAAAGGATTGCCTCTAATTTTGAATGAAGTTCTACTGTGGATAAGTACTATCAAATGATATCCTATGCTACAGAGAAGTCTTTCATGAAAGAGTCATTCAATGCAGCATACTTCATTGCTGTCTTATGAAACTCTGTGCACGGCGGCTCACACCTGTAATCCCAGCACTTTGGGAGGTCAAGGAGAGCAGATCACCTGAGGTCAGGAGTTGGAGACCAGCCTGGCCAAAATGAAACCCCATATCTACTAAAAATGCAAAAATTAGCTGGGTGTGGTGGCAGGCACCTGCAATCCTGGCTACTTGGTAGGCTGAGGGAGGGGAATTGCTTGAACCTGGGAGGTGGAGGTTACAGTGAGCCGAGATGGTGCCATTGCACTCCAGACTGGGCGACGGAGTGAGACTCTGACTCAAAAAAAAAAAAAAAAGAAAAAGAAATTCCCACAGCCACCCCAGCCTTTAGCAATCACAACCCTGATCAGTCAGCAACCACCAGTACTGAGGCAAGACCCTCCAGCAACCAAAACATTATGACTCACTGAAGGCTCAGATGATTAACATTACTTAGCAATAAAGCTTTTTAAAATTAAGGTAAGTACATTATTTGTTTAAACATAATACTATTACACCCTTTACAGTACAATGTAAACATAACTTTTATATGCATTGAGAAACCAAAAATTTTTGTTGACTTGTTTTATTGTGATTTTTGCTTTATTGTGATGGTCTGGAACAAAACCCACAGTATCTTCAAGTATGACTCGAATATGTAGAGAATTTTTAAAAATTTTTAGCATATTTTACAAAACTTATTGCCTTATAAGTACTCACTCAATATTTTATTTAAGGAGTACATCTTGATTTTTAAGGGTTTCTTAGCTTTATTGGTTATGTATTAAATAAAACCTCAGCATTTCAATCATAATGTATAAGAAGTATGTTTATGTCATTATTTTTAAAACATAATTTGAATAAATGTATAATATTCCATGTATGCTGTTATCATAACATATTTAAAAATTTTAGCAACATTCAATATCTCTTATTTTATTATCATATTTTAAAAATTAAAGCCTATTGATCACACTTTTTACATAAGCTTTCGTTTGATTTTACTTTCAAAGATTATGGTCAAGTTCTCTCACTATGTAGACTCTTTTTCAATCATATATTTCTAGTTTCATAAATGACACAGCATGTTTCTTACTTCAAAAATAGCATAAACTTTAAATTAGATTCCTATTTAGCTACATTTGAATAATTTAAAGTAAATGTCTTACATTGCAGAGCTAGAAAAATGTTTATTTTTTATATTTTGGTTTGCTTTTGGTTCTTTTAGTTCTTTAGTTAGCTTTTTTTTAAAAAAATAAAACACTTCACAAATATTCTCTCTAAAATATATGTATAAACTAAATGTGGTTTGCTTTCAGCTACAGTTGACCCTTGAACACATGTGTACACTACGCAGGTCCACTTATATGCATATTATTTTTTCAACCAAACTCAATAAAAAGTGCGGTGTTTTCTGTAGGGTTGCCTTTTCCTATAAACAGGTTCCACAGGGCCAACTGGGAAACTTGAGTATATGTGGGTTTTGGTACATGAAGGTGCCCCTGGAATTGATCCCCACCTATATGGAGAGATAACTATATGTTGTGTTTGCTAGATTCACCAGCCAGAGATAATATACTATTATAGAATGCTTTAGATTTATACAATTACCTAATATATTTGGCACATTTTTATTTATGGCTCACATCAAGTTACATACTCAATACATGTCTGACTTAGCTTCTTTATCTGTAATCTGAGAATACTCCTTTTCCTGAATACATATCATGATGACAAGGATCTTACAAAACAAATCATGTCAAAGACTAGGCATGTGCTAGTTAGTTTTAAACATTCTTTAACAAATAATCTCCAGGGGCACTACCTTCAACACTCAGTCTTTGAGAAAATCTAGTTTTTAAATGGTCCACATTTTGCATTAATTTTTAAAAATGTATTGAAGACCGTAGGAAAGAACTGGAAAGATTTCTGAGACATCTGAAAATAATAGAAAATAATCTATTTTATATCAAGAAACATTGAACAAAAATGAAATAAATAAAAAAATTCTGTGGAAGAAGAAATTAATTCAACCTCATGTATTTCTCAATTTATTCAATAATGAGGTCACTTGATTTACTTCATGTGTACATTTCAATGAATGACTGCATGTCCAAAATATATTTTATACATTTTTACTGAGATTATTCACACTTCAGTCTTCCTGTTTTGGTACAAAATATTTTAGACAAACTATTATACTTGTTCATGTATAACTGTCACTTTAGTGACTGCATGTCCAAAATATATTTTATACATTTTTACTGAGATTATTCACACTTCAGTCTTCCTGCTTTGGTACAAAATATTTTAGACAAACTATTATACTTGTTCATGTATAACTGTCACTTTAGTTATAAAAATGATGCTTAAGTTAAAAACAAAATGGCCGGGCGCGGTGGCTCACGCCTGTAATCCCAGCACTTTGGGAGGCCGAGGCGGGTGGATCATGAGGTCAGGAGATCGAGACCATCCTGGCTAACAAGGTGAAACCCCGTCTCTACTAAAAATACAAAAAATTAGCCGGGCGTGGTGGCGGGCGGCAGGAGAATGGCGTGAACCCGGGAAGCGGAGCTTGCAGTGAGCCGAGATTGCGCCACTGCAGTCCGCAGTCCGGCCTGGGCGACAGAGCGAGACTCCGTCTCAAAAAAAAAAAAAAAAAAACAACAACAAAATAATTTTAATAAAGAAGTGTGAGAAGTAATATATAACCTCTGAGTCAGTCAGAATCTAGCAAATCTTTATAGGTCACATACATTAAACATTCTTACATTCACTGTCAGTGGCTCTAATTAAGAATGATCATATAAAAAGATCTTTTCATTTTTCTTGGCTTTTTCTAGTTTGCCCAAATCGCACCAATTATTTCTTCTATACTGTTGGTTCATGAGTTCGTGACTGTACATAGTTAGTAATTACTTAAAATCAGATTTTTTTTTTACATTTTACTGAAACATAGTTTAATTCACCTTTGCTTTTCTCCCACTAGCTTGATATATTATTGAACTATAATAATTTTAAAAAGAAAAATCACACTATGCCAAAGATAAGGAAGCATTTAAATGACAGAACTATTTTGTCTGAATAAAGACACAAGATCATATATAGAGAAGAGAAAATGAGCTAATTCATATATTTGGATGATATGAAGTAGATTAAATATTTTATGTTTTTAAATAAGCAACATGTTAAGCAAGACAGAAAATTATTTTTAATAAAATAAAAAATATACAAAAGCTTTAAAATTCATGCAAATATCTAAATGAAAGAAGAAATCAGACAATGTATATCTTGGCATTGTTCAGTTGGGGATTATTGCTTGGACGATATTTGCTATATTTGTATTTCTCTGTCTTGTTATTTTTTTTTCTATTAGCTGAACATAAAAATTTCAAACACGAAACTAAAATAAATGAGTAAAATAACATCATTATGGGCTGACATACTTTTGGTGTGTTAAGGTGTATTACTAATATGATACATATTGTAAAAACCATTAATAATAATTTAAAATTATAATATTTAACAATAAAATTACTACGTTTTGTAATTAACTATGCTAACTATATCATTAACTATATTAATGACTGATATTGCATAAAAATATATTTGTATAGCAGATAAAAAGATGGGGGAGGGATAGCATTAAGAGAAATATCTAATGTAAATGATGAGTTAATGGGTGCAGCAAACCAACACGACACATGTATACATATATAACAAACCTGCACATTTTGCACATGTGCCCTAGAACTTAGAGTATAATAAAAAAAAGTTGTAAAGATAAATTTTGTCTAGAATTCAACTAAGAGGCACCTAGAAATTTTTAAGGATAATTAAAATTCGAAGATGAAATTTGAATGTTAACATAAAGCAAAATAAAAGAAATGCCAAATACATACAATTTTAAAACTATAACAACTTCAAAATTCAAAAAGAAACTTTTATATTATTATGTTATATAATATTTTTATTTTTAAAGGCACTTTTTTCTTGTGATTAAAGGTATGTGTTCTCTTAAAAACATGTATTTCTCTACATTTAAAAAAATGATTTTTTAACTTAAAAAAATAAATTATTTTCTTCCTTTTTCTATTCCTATTTTATTTTTTTAAATTTTTTTAGACTTTTGGCCATTTTTCTTAACTTTATATAGCACTAAAATGACTTATAAAATACTATAATTATATAAATTTTGATAGGATGTTAGTGGAAATTTATATGCTATTCTGTTAGTTTATTAAATTAATGTTTATTTTTATACAAACATTAATTATTTTCAAAGTGGCTACTAAAATGAATAATAAGCAATCATAAAATAATTATACAAAATTATATAGATAAATAAGGGCAGAAATTGTTTATTTTTATATAATTATTTATTTTATTTTATTTTTTTGAGAGGGAATCTCGCTTTGTCACCCAGTCTGGAGTGCAGTGGCATGATTTCGGCTCACGGCAAACTCCATCTCCTGGGTTCACACCATTCTCCTGCCTCAGCCTCCATAGTTGCTGGGACTATAGGTGCCCACCACCACATCCAGCTAATTTTTTTTTTTTTTGTATTTTTAGCAGAGACAGGATTTCACTGTGTTAGCCAGGATGGTCTTGATCTCCTGACCTCATGATCCGCCCGCCTTGGCCTCCCAAAGTGCTAGGATTATAGGCATGAGCCACTGCGCCCAGCCAGAAATTGTATATTTTTAAATACACTAATAATCTTAATAATGCATCCGGTATATTTATATGAGTTACTGAGAAAGGTGTATTAGAATCACCTTCAATAATTTTGGTTTTAAAAATTTATCCAATTAAGAGACACTAGACCTTCTTTTTTCTTCCTAGTGAAAATACAATGAGAAGGCAGCTGTCTGCAAGCCAGGAAGAACTCTTACCAAGAATTGAATCTGCTGGCACCTTTAACTTGGACTTGCCAGCCTGCAGAACTGTGAAAAACAAATGTCTTTTGTGATCAAGTGCCAAGATGACTTACTAGAAGCAGCTAGTATGCTCCACTCTCGTGAAAAGGAAATAGACTGGCCAGTAAACACTAGCACTTCAACTGGATCTTCCAAGAGGACATGTTGGGATTCAGCAAGGAAGCAACAGAAGCCATGGAGAACAAAAACAGCAAGACACAACAGCCACCCACCCAGGATTGGGTGGAGTCAGGGGAGGATCCTTACCACAAAGAAATAGTGACTGAGAGAGAGCCCCATGGCCCCATACTTCTGTCACGGACCTTTGTAATCATAGGCACAGGTGATCCACCCTGAGTCCCTCCCCCTGGGGCCTTCAGACTAACAAGGAGAGCTGCATAGAATCTGGGCAGAGCTCCAGATCAGGCACATGAGAAGTCCCAGGGGTCTTAGACCCCTAAGCACCCCAGTGCTAGTTGCCATAGCTTCACCAACAAGAACGCCAAGTTCTCTGCATGCCAAAAGTTAGTGGCTACATTCATGGTTCTGAGGAGCAGAGGGACTTCATGCCTTGCCTCTGGTTAACCTCTCCAGGCAAGGCACACTGACCTGGAACTCCAGAACAGCCATGAAACACCCATTTGACCTCTTCAACTGGCAGCAGCTCTGCATTTCTCTGGGATGAAGCTCCCAGATGCAATAGACATATCTGCTGTTTTTGCTGCTATTGCAGCTCCAGCCACTACCCAACTGCCTTCAAGGTCAGGAGGGAGTGAAGAGTGTTATGACTGTTGTGGGCCTCCAGCACAGGGCAAGCTGCCTTCTGGAAAAGCAGTCATATAGTTTTTAATGTTGGTCATGGCCCCTTCTACTCCTCACTGGTCAGGGCCTCCTGGCTTGAGCCTCCAGCACAGCCACCTACCTCA
Source organism: Homo sapiens (assembly GCF_000001405.40). Classification (NCBI taxonomy): domain Eukaryota; kingdom Metazoa; phylum Chordata; class Mammalia; order Primates; family Hominidae; genus Homo; species Homo sapiens. The sequence goes on along the minus strand of NC_000009.12, from coordinate 67,772,236 downwards.
GCCTGACAACTTGGGCCAGAAGCAGCATTGCATTTCCCTGGGACAGAGCTCTCATAGGTATAAGACAGGCCTGCCGTTTTTGCCTGCTATAGCCCCTGCCCATAATGCCCTCAGATCAAGAGATAGCAAAGAGGCTTAAGGATTATAGCAGGTCTTCAGCTCAGCACATCTGCCTTATGGAGGTGTTGTCAGACTTTTTTCCATGCCTGTCTTTGCTCCTGCTACTTCTCACTGGGTAGGGCCTCCCGACCTCGGCCCCAGCACAGCTACCCTGCTCCCACTTGAACACTTCAGACAGTGGCACCTGTGCATTTCTCTGGGATAGAATTCCCAGTGACAACCCACAGCCCCTCTGCCATTACATACAGTGGTACCACCCTTGCTGCCTGATATGGTTTGGCTCTGTGTCCCCATTCAAATCTCATCCTGTAGATCCCACAATTCCCATGTTTTGTGGGAGGTACCTGGTGGGAAATGACTGAATAATGGAGATGGGTATTTCCCATGCTGTTCTCGTCATAGTGGATGGGTCTCATGAGATCTAATGATTTTAAAAACAGGAGTTTCCTGACACAAGCTCTCTCTTAGCCTGCTGCCATCCATGTAAGATGTGACTTGCTCCTACTTACCTTTCACCATGATTGTGAGGCCTTCCCAGCCACGTGGAACTGTAAGTTGATTAAACCTCCTTCTTTTGTAAATTGCCCAGTCTCAGGTCTGTCTATCAGCAGCATGAAAATGGAATAATACAGTAAATTGGTACCAGTAGAGTGGGCTCTACTGAAAAGTGCCTGAAAATGTGGAAGCAACTTTAGAACTGGGTAACAGGCAGAGGTTGAAACAGCTTGGAGCACTCAGAAGGAGACAGGAAAATATGGCAAAGTTTAGAACCACCTAGAGACTTGTTGAATGGTTTTGCCTAAAATGATGTTAATGATACGGACAATGAAATCCAGGATGGGGTGGTCTCCAATGGAGATGAGGATCTTGGGGACTAGAACAAAGGTGACTTTTGTTATGTTTTAGCAAAGAGACTGGTGGCATTTTGCTCCAGGCCTAGAGATTTGTGGAACTTTGAACTTGAGAAAGATGATTTAGGGTATCTCATGGAAGAAATTTCTAAGCAGCAAAGCATTCAAGATGTGACCTGGGTGCTGTTAAAGTCACTCAGTTTTATAAAGGAAGTAGAGCATAAAAGTTCAAAAAGTTTGCAGCTTGACAATGTGATAGAAAAGAAAATCCCATTTTCTAAGGAGAAATTTAAGTCAGCTGCAGAAATTTGTATAAGTAATGAGGAGATGAATGTTAATCCCCAAGACAATAGGGAAAATGTCTCTAAGGCATGCCAGAGGTCTTCATGGCAGCCCCTTCCATCACAGGCCTGGTGACCTAGGAGAAAAAAAGTGGTTTTGTGGGCCAGGCCCAAGGTCATCATGCTGTGAGCAGCCTGGGGACTTGGCACCCTGTGTCCCAGCTGCTCCAGCCATGGCTGAAAGGGGCCAATGTAGACTTTAGGCTGTGGCTTCAGAGGGTACAAGCCCCAAACCTTGGCAGCTTCCACTTGATGTTGAGCCTGTGAGTGCACAGAAGTCAAAAATGGGGGTTTGGGAATCTCTGCCTAGATTTCAGATGTATGGAAATGCCTGGATGTCCAGGAATAAGTTCACTGCAAGGGTGAGGCCCTCACAAAGAACCACTGTTTAGGGCAGTGTGGAAGGGAAATGTGGGGTTGGAGCCCCCACAGAGAGTCCCTACTGGGGCACTGCCTAATGCAGCTGTGAGAAGAGGGCCACCATCCTCCAGACCCCAGAATGGTAAATCCACTGACAGCTTGCACTGTGCACCTAGAGAAGACTAAGACACTCAATGTCACCCTGTGAAAGCAGCCATGAGGGAGGCTGTACCCTACACAGCCACGGGGGAGGAGCTACCCAAGACCTTGGGAACCCACCTCTTGCATTAGCATGACCTGGATGTGAGACATAGAGTTACTGGGAGATCATTTTGGAGCTTTAAAATTTGACTGTCCCTCTGGATTTCACACTTGCATGGGGCATGTAGCCCTGTTGTTTTGGCCAATTTCTCCCATTTGGAATGGCTGTATTTACCCAATGCCTGTACCCCCATTGTATCTAGGAAGTAACTAACTTACTTTTGATTTTACAGGCTCATAAGTGGAAGGGACTTGACTTGTCTCAGATGAGACTTTGGACTGTGGACTTTTGAGTTAATGCTGAAATTAGTTAAGGCTTTTTGGGACTGTTGGGAAGGCATGATTGGTTTTGAAATGTGAAGATATGAGATTTGGGAGGGGCCAGGGGTATAATAATATGGTTTGACTCTGTGTCCCCACCCAAGTCTCATCTTGTAGTTCCCATAACTTCTACATGTTGTGGGAGGGACCCAGTGGGAAATGATTGAATCATGAGAGTGAGTCTTCCCCATGCTGTTCTCATGATAGTGAATGGGTCTCATGAAATCTGATGGCTTTAAAAATGGGAATTTCCCCAAATGAGGTCTCTATTTGGCTGCAGTCATCCATGTAAGATGTGACTTGCTCCTCTTCTTGACTTCTGCCATGAGTTTGAGGCCTCCTCAGCCATGTAGAACTACAAATTGATTAAACCTCTTTCTTTTGTAAATTGTCCAGTGTCAGGTATGTCTTTATCAGCAGTGTAAAAAAGGACTAAGAAACTCCCCTTGGGCTGGGGAAAGAACAAAATCCTGGTTGCTTCACTAGCACCTTCATCATGACACAGCTGCCATATAGCGTAGAGCCCAGTCTCTCTTCCTTGTGAGCTCCCAACTCCTATCCTTCACTAAGCAGAACTCCTTGCTTGGGCCTGCAGAGTAGCTACCTCACCCAAGCTGAACATTTCTATTGCCAGTGGCTCTGTGTTATCCTGTGATGGAGCTCCCAGAGGCAAATGACAGCCAACTGCCACTGCCAATGCAGTGGTACCTGCCCTTGCTGTCTTAGACTGGGAAAGAAATAAAAGAGCCTGAATGCTTTACTCATGCTTCCAGCACACTATGATTACCATATGATCACCATATGGCATGGAGCCCAATCTCTATTCTCTGTGAGCCCCTGATCCCCTGCTCTTCACCAGGCAGGGGTCCCAGCAAAGGCTCATAGTGCAGCAGCCCCACTCCAGGCTGAAAATGCCCAGTGGCAGTGGTTCTGCATTTCTCTGGGGTGGAGATCCCAGAAGCAACTGAAAGTTTTTCTGCAACCGCTATTCAGCAGTACTGCCCTTGCTGCCCTCCAACTGGGGAGGGAACAAGACCCCAAGTGCTTTACTCACACCTCCAGCACACTGCAGCTACCCTACAGAGAAGAGATGAATCTGTCTTCTCACAAGCCCTGACACCCTCTGCTCATCACCAGTAGTGTCCCCCAGCTTGGTTCCAAAATGCACAGGCCCCATCAAAGGTTGACCACTCCATTTGGCAGCATCTCTGCATTTCTGTATGGTGGAGCTGCAAAAGACAAGTGATAGACCTCCACACATTACCACTGCCAAGGTCCTCACCCCTTTTGTCCCCAAGCTTGTGAGGAAACAAAAACCTTGAGCTCATCCCAGGGCTGTGATGTGCAGCACTGCAGTGACAAGCCAAGCTATGCAGCCAGCATTTCAGTAGGAGGGAAGCCTACACACACAGAATACTGACACGGAGCATGGCTGCAAATGTGAGAAAATATATATTTGTGTATGAACAAGAGCCTACCTATCAGCCATTATAGGTAGGTAGGCTGAACAAGAGCCTACCTATCAGCCATTATACCTAAGTGTCATCAGCCAGATTGCAGCAGAAACTTCAACTCTAAAATTACTTTGCTAATATAAGCCTCTGTGAAACCCAGGACAATAATTCAGCTACTAATAAAGATCATGCAAAAAGGTGCTTTGAAAACATCCAGAAACAAAGTCAACTGACTATGCTCAAATTATACCACAGTTAAAGAAACACCAGCCCACACAGATGAGAAAAAAGCCAACATAAGAACTCTAGCAACTCAAAAAGTCAGAGTGTCACTTTACCTCCAAATGACTGCACTAGTTCTACAGCAATGGTTGTTAAATAGAAGGAAATGGCTGAAATGACAGATATAGAACTGAGAGGTAGAAGGAAATGAAGATCATTGAAATTCAGTAGAAAGTTGAACACTATTTCCAAGAATCTGAGGAATCCAGTAAAATGATTAAAGAGAAAAAAATTAGCCATTTGAAAAAACAAAACAAGACAAACAAACAAACAAACTAAAACCAAACCTAGCAGGTAGAGTTACAAAATACACTACAAGAATTTCATAAAATGATTGGAAATATTCACAGCAGAATGGACTAAGCCAAGAAAAGAATCTCAGAGATTGAAGACTGATTATTTAAGTTAACACAGCCAGAAAATAAATAAAGAAAAGAAGAATTTTAAAAAATGAAAGGTCAGGCATGGTGGCTCATGCCTGTAATCCCAGCACTTTGGGAGGATATTGAGACCATCCTGGCTAACACGGTGAAACCCTGTCTCTACTAAAAATACAAAAAAAAAAAATTCACTGGGCATGGTGGCAAGTGCCTGTAGCCCCAGCTACTCAGGAGGCTGAGGCAGGAGATTGGTAGGAACACGGGAGGTGGAGCTTGCATTGAGCCGAGATCATGCCACTGCACTCCAGCCTGGGCTACAGAGCAAGACTCCATCTCAAAAAAAAAAAAAAAAGAAAGAAAGAAAAAGAAAAGAAAAAACCTTGGAGAAGTAAGGGATTCTGTAAAAAATTTCCCCAATTTCACTAGAGAGATTGACATATAAATTTAGAAAATTCAGATAACCTATGTAAGATGCTATGTAAGACAACCATTGCAGAGACACAAAGTAATCAGATTCTTGAAGGTCAATGCAAAAGAAAAAAATATTAAAGGCAGTTAACGACAAGGGGCAGGTCACATAAAGTGGAAACTACATCAAACTCACAGGGGAACTCTCAGCAATATCCCACAGTCAGAAGACATTAAGAATCCATATTCAGCATTTTTGAAAAAATAAAATTTTGAACCAAGAATTTTATGTCCCACCAAACTAAGCTTCATAAACAAGGGAGAAATAAAATCCATTTCAGATAAGCAAAAGCTAGGGGAATTTATTACCACCAGGCCTTTAGAGACCACAAGAGATCCTTAAGAAAGTGCTAAACATGAAAATGAAGGACTGTTACCTAGCACCAGAAAAACACACTCAAGTATATAGACCATCAACACTATAAAGTAATTACACAATCAAGTTTACATAACAACCAGCTAACAACATGCTGGGAGGATCGAATGTGCACATGTCAATATTGAAGATAAACAAGCTAAACACCCACTTAAAAGGCATGGAGTGGCAAAGTGGATAAAGAATCAAGACCCAACTGTATGCTGTCTTCAAGAGACCCATCTCACATGTGAGAACACCCATAGGTTCAAAGTAAAGGGATGGAGAAAGAACTACCAAACAAATGAAAAACAAAGAAAAACAGGTGTTGCTGTTCTTATTTTAGATAAAACTGACATTAAACTAACGATGATCAAAACAGACAATAAAGGGCATTACGTAATGATGAAGGATTCAATTAAACAAGAAGACTTAACTATCCTAAATATATATGCACCTAACACTGGAGCACTCAGATTCACAAAACAAGCTCTTAGAGATATACAAAGAAACTTACATAACTACACAATGACAGTGGCAGACCTCAACACCTTACTGACAGTGTAAGACAGATCACTGAGGCAGAAAACTAACAAGGATATTCGGGACCTAAACTTGACACTTGGCCAAATACACCTAACAGACATCTGCAGAACACTCCACACATCAACAACAGAATATATATTCTTATCATCTGCACGTGACACATATTCTAAAATCAACCACATGCTCAGCTATAAGTCAATTCTCAACAAATAAAAAAAAAATTTTACCAGCCACACTCTCAGACCAGAGCACAATAAAAATACAAATCAATACCAAGAAGATCTGCCAAAACTGTAGGATTAAGTGACAATTAAACAACCTGAACCTGAATGACTTTTGTGTAAACAATAAAATCAAGGCAGAAATCAAGAAATTCTTAGACTCTGATGAAAACAAAAATACAACACACCAGAAACTCTAGAACACAGCTGAAGCATGGTTAAAAGGAAAGTTTATTGTGCTAAACACTTATGTCAACAGCTAGAAAGATCTCAAATTTGCAACCTAACATCACAGATAGAGGAACCTAAAAAACAAAACAGAACCAACCTCGAAGGTAGTAGAAGAAAAGAAATGGCCACAATCATAACTGAAATTAACAAAATGGAGATGAGAAAAAAATGTAAAAAAATCAACAAAACTGAATGTTGGGTATTTGAAAGAAAAAATAATGTTGATAGGCCATTATCTAAACTTATAAAGAAAAAAAAGAGACAATATTCAAATAAACACAATCACAAAAGAGACAAAGGGGACATTACCAGTGACCCCACAGAAATACAACAACCCTCAGGGATGATTATGAACACCTCTATGTACACAAACTGAAAAACCCAGAGAAGCTGCATAAATTCCTGGAAGCAATCTTCAAAGATTGAACCAGGAAGAAAATGAAACTTTGAACAGACTAATAGGAAGGTCCAAACTGAATTGGCAATACGACGCCTATCAATCAGAAAAAGTGTTGGCCTCAAAGGATTCACTGCCAAATTCTACCAGATGTATAAAGAAGAGCTGATACCACACCTACTGAAACTATCTAAAATAATTGAGGAGGAGGGACTCATAACTAACTCATTCTATGAGGACAACATCATTCTGATACCAAATCCTGGCAGAGATGCAATGAAAAAAAAAACTTCAGACCAGTATTTCTAATGAACATAGATAAAGAAATATTCAACAAAATACTAGCAAACCAAATCTAGTTGTACATCAAAAAGCTAATCCACCACAATCAAGTAGGTTTTATTTCTTGCATAATATTTCCAGAATGGTACTTCCAAGGTTTTCTTCTAGAGATTTTATAGTTTGAGGTTTTACATTTATGTCTTTAATCCATCCTGGGTTGATTTTTGTGTATGGTGAAAGGTAGGGGTCCAGTTCAAATCTTCTGTGTATGGTCAGCAGGTTATCCTGGCACCATTTGTTGAATAAGATGTCCTTTCCCCATTGTTTGTCTTTGTCAGCTTTGTTAAAAATCAGATGATTGTTTATGTATGGCTTTATTTCTGTGCTCTCAAAACTGTTCCATTACACTATGTGTCTGTTTTAGTTACTGTAGCCTTGTAGTATAGTTTGAAGCCAGGGAGTGTGATGCCCCCAGCTTTGTTCTTTTTGCTTAGAATTACTTTGGCTATTCAGGCACTTTTTTGGTTCCAAATTTATTCTAGAATTTTTTTTCTAGTTCAGCGAAAAACGTTGTTGGTAGTATGATAGGAATAGCATTGAATCTGTAACTTGGGTTGGGCAGAATGAGCATTTTAATAATACTGCAAACCCCAACCTTTGGTAGAGTCTATGTGATATTGGGCCTGTGGGTGTGCAGAAGACAAGAGTTGAGCTTTAGGAACCTCAGCCTGAATTTCAAAGGATGTACGGAAACACCTGAATGTCTAGGCAGAAGTATGCTGCAGGGGAAGGGCCCTCATGGAGACCTCTGCTAGGGCAGTGCAGAAGGAAGATGTGGGGTCAGAGCATCCATGCAGGGTCTCCACTGGGGCACTGACTAGTGGAGCTGTGAGAAGAGGGCCGTCATTCTCCGGATCCCAGAATGATAGATCCACCAAAAGCTCACACCACTCACCTGGAAAAGCTGCAGGCACTCAACACCAACCTGTGAAAGCAGCCAGAAGGGAGGCTGTACCCTGCCAAGCCATAGGAGTGGAGCTTCCCAAAGCCATGGTATCCCATCTCTTGCATCTGTGTGACCTGGATGTGAGACATGGAGTCAAAGGACATCATTTTGAAACTTTAAGGTTTAATGACTGCTCTGTTGGATTTCAGACTTGCATGGGGCCTATAGCTCCTTTGTTTTGGTCAATTTCTCCTATCTCCAATGGGTGTATTTACCCAGTACCTGCACTCCCATTGTATCTAGGAAATAACTAACTTGCTTTTGATGTTACAGGCTCATAGGTGGAAGGGACTTGCCTTTTCTCAGATGAGATTTTGAACTCGAACTTTCAGGTTAATGCTGAAATGAGTTAAGACTTTGGGGGATTCTTGGAAAGGCATAATTGTGTTTTGAAATGTGAGGACATGAGATTTGCGAGGGGCCATGGACAGAATAATATAGTTTGGCTTTGTGTCCCTACCCAAAATCTCATCTTGAATTGTAATGCAAATTGTAATCCCCACATGTTGGGGGAAGGACATCATGGGAGGTGATTAGACATGGGGATCATACTGTTCTCATGATAATGAGTGAGTTCTTATGAGAGCTGAAGGTTTTATAGGGGCTTTCCCCCACTTCACTTTGCACTTCTCTCTCCTGCAGCCATATCAAGAAGGACATGTTTGCTGCCCCTTCCACCATAAGTGTATGTTTCCTGGAGCCTCCCCAGCCATGCAGAACTGTGAGTCAATTAAAACTATTTTGATTCTAAATTACCCAGTCTCAGTCAGTTCTTTATAGAAGCATGAGAACAGACTAATACAGTGACCCACCCCTTTATATTTGTTTAACTGAGTTGATTCAATGAATCCATCTCACAGCTCTCAGTTTTTTTCCTCAGCTTAGTCCTTTCTGTTGTTAATACTTCCAGTTAAACAATGAAATGCTCATAGTGAGTTTTTCAGCTCTTAGACGAGTTTGGGTCATTGTCTTTCTTTCCTTTGTGTGTGTGTGTGTGTGTGTGTGTGTGTGAGATGGAGTCTTGCTCTGTCACCAAGGCACCAAGGCTGGAATGCAGTGGTGTGATCTCGGCTCACTGCAACCTCTGAATTCAAGCCAGTCTCCTGCCTCAGTCACCCGAGTAGCTGGAACTACAGGTGTGTGCCACCATGCCTGGCTAAGTTTTGTATTTTTAGTGGAGATGGGGTTTCACCATGTTGGCCAGCCTGGTCTCGAACTCCTGAACTCAGGTAACCTGGCTGCCTCGGCCTCCCAAATTGCTGGGATTACAGATGTGAACCACTGTGCCTGGCAAGAGTTTGGGTCTTTTAAAAAAATGACTATATCGTCTCTTAGCTCTTGTTTCTTTCTAATTGATTCCTTAGATTCTTTGGATGGGCTTTTAACTGTCTCCTGAATCTCAGTAACCTTCATTGCCATCAAGCTTGTGAATTCTGTCTATTATTTCAGCCTTTTCAGTCTGGTTAACAGCTGTTGCTGGGGAGTTAGTGTGGTCATCTAAAAATAGACACTCTGGGTTATTGAATTGCCAGTGTAGTTATGCTGGTTCTGGTTCTTTCTCATCTCTGTGAGCTAATGTTCCTTTAATCGTTGAAGTTAGTTTGCTTGTTTGTTTTGGATGGGGCTTTTTACTTGTATACTTTGATGCCGTTAAGGGTTTACTATGCTATAAGTTGCATTTAATTGACTGGCTTCATCTCTGGATGATTTCAGGTGGCCAAGGCTCAGCTCAGCTCTCCTGGGATGTGTGCTCTAACACTGGGGGGATTGGGACCTGGCCCACAGCTTTGTTATATGCCCCCTCAAGATGAAGTACCTGCTGCACTGACAGGGCCACAGCATTCTCAGTCCACTGGCAACAACAGTCCAACGGGGGATGCCAACAAAAGTGCTTCATTGGAGCATTTGCTGAGGGGTCCATGCTTACGCACATGTGCACCAGCTGCAGCAGGGGTGCAGTGTGGCATGTTATACTCATACTCACCCTGGCAGTGGCAGGTTGTCAGGGTTTATACACACACACCAGTGGGGCCCATGCAGTTGCAGTGAGGACTCTGCATATGTGCACACTGGCGAAACAGTGATTGGAGACTGTGCACAGTGCATGCCGGCAATGCAGTGAGGGGGGACTGTAAGTAGGTGTGCACTGTTGGAGGTATATTTGCAGAAGCTCTCCAATGAGAGCAGAGTAGAGTCTGCTGCTATGGTGATGGCCACTGAGAAGCACCCTCGTTGGGCATGCAAAGCTGCCCTCCAAGAGGGTATGGCCTGGCGGGGACCCCAGGAGAGTCCAGTCGACAGGAGAGCATCTAATCACACTGGCATATCCCATGGGCAAGACAGCCCTTCTCTGTGCAGGTCTGACAATCAATAATGACCTAAGTCACTCAGAGGCGTGTGGTAAGCCTTAGGAAATGGGTGTCCCTGGCTGTGCTTCACTGGAACCATTCTTATGTCAAACTATCTGGGCTCTACACATACTGGAATCCTGTCTTTGCTACTTCTCCAAGCAACTCTCCTTGCTAGCTCGAATGTCCATGGGGATTGTGAAGTCTCCTAAAGCTAGGATTCTGGAGCTCTTTGGAAAGAGTAAGCCACTCCATCGTATTTAACTCACCCCCTCCCTCACCTTTCAGGGCCAGGAATGAGTCCTGGTGCTCCACAACCCCATGCTGGGTTCCCAGCTTTCTGATCCTTTAGCCCAGTGTCTCCATCCTCTCTCCTTCCACTCTCAATGCTTTCCTTTTGAAGATCTGCTCAGAGTGTGCTGGTTTTCTTGATAGTCAGCTCTTTCAGTGGAGGATCTTCCTGACTCTGTCTTGATGGCCATTTTGGCTCTTCTGTCTTTTAGGGTTTCCTTGGTGAGTATCAGGTGTTCATAAATTAAGGATTTATATATTGGGTTTAAAAATCAAGATTGTAAATCAAGATATCTTTAGTGTGATGAAAGGAAGTAAATTATAAAACGTATTTAGGTTACTATGTTGCTCTTAATAAGTAGTACGGCTGCCACATTTTAAAGTGTTTTCTTTTTCCCCTATGGTTGTTTTAAGGATTTCTTTTTCTCTGTCACTCTCTGTCTTTCCAGCTCTCATTTTCTCTCTTTCTCTCACATCAGATTTATTGTTAAGTGTTAATTCAGTGGTTATTTTTTCCTTGAAATTTACTGTGTTTCTTGAATGGACACGTGTATCTTTCATCATTTTGGAAAGTTTAAACCATTAAGTATTCACATATTTATCTGCTCCATTTATTTTATTCTAGCTCTCTATTTAAATATATCACCTCACACAACTCATTATTTGTGATAACCACTCTTCTACATTTCCATTTTTTCATCTCACTGTATTGAACTGTGCTCATTTGCTTTTCTGATTTAGCTTCCAGTGATCTAGCTCTTTTGCTATGTCCAAAATATTATCATACTCATGCTCCTAATGTTTAATTTTAGTCATAATATCATTTATCTTTAAAATTTGTTATTAGTTTCATGTTAAAACTGAAAGATTACATTGTATTGTTTTCATTTGGCAGATATTTTCAAATTTACTTCTTAGAACATAATACAAATACATGTTTTTCAATGTGTCTGTAATAATACCAGATCTGCAATTTTTGTGACTTTTTTCATTATTTTTCCTGCTACTTATTGCAAAATGTGTCCTGTTTCCTTGCATTCTTTATTAGCTTTGAAAGCATGATGCTTACTGCTTCTGCCAAAATTACTTGGAAGGATTCCTCAAATCCTGGAATGATGACTTCCTATATAGAATCATTTTCTTTATCTTTACTAGTTATCTCTGTAGATTACTTTAAGAACGATATAAATTAAATTAGTAGCTTCCTGCTGTGACAGCCAGCCTGTGGACTATCCTTCAAAACCACAACTTTTCCCATTTCTACTATTTAACCTGGTTTATTCATTTTCAGGACAGCAATCCACACATTTTCCCGGAAGTGGAGGGACAAGGGTCAGTAATCGTTTGCTTTAAACATACTCTGATATTTCAGGCCTTCAAAACAATAGCACAGGTTTTAGGAAGTGGATTTCCAAGAAAACTTCCCATTTTTGCCTGACATTTCTACTACTGCCTTCTCACTTATCCACCATTGAGTTTCTTCTGGATCAAACAACCTTCTCGAAAAATATCAGATACTTTAGCCCTAATTAATTCTCATACTTTCTTTTTTTTTTGAGACAGAGTCTTGCTCTGTTGCCCAGGCTGGAGTGCATTGGTGTGATCTTGGCTCACCACAACCTCTACTTCCTGGGTTCAAGCTATTCTCCTGCCTCAGCCTCCCAAGTAGCTGCGACTATAGGCATTCACCACCATGCCCAGCAAATTTTTGTATTTTTAGTAGACATGGGGTTTCACTATGTTGGCCAGGCTGGTCTCAAACTTCTGACCTCGTGATACACCCACCTCAACCTCCCAAAGTGATTTTTGATCAAGTAATTCCTTACATACTTACCATTTTCTTCCTTTAAGAAGATTTTATAAAATATTTATATATCTATTAATATTATCTGCCGTTACCTGACAGAAGTAGATATGCATCATTTTTTGATGCAGGTGGAGACTTAATAATTGAGAAAAATAATATAATCTATAAGCCTGCAGTAAAGATTAAACCAAAAAATCAAGAGTTTGATCACCTCTGTAGATAAAGGAAATAAATTGATAAAGTTCAAAATTTGTGCTACACTTGAAGGAAGTAATTTGAAATCATTTATCTTATAAAGGCTTTATAATCCAAGAATTAAAAATACTCACTTTTTTCCATTTTAGGTATTCACATCAAAAATCTATTACCTAATATATAAAACTATCAAGTATGTTGATTATGTTTTTAGTATAGTGGTATTGTTTATCCGGATTTAATCTTGAAGATTAAAAATAAAAATAATGTTAACTTCAGTTAACTGTTCAGGCAAATTATTTTCTTTTTTGATAAAATGTATTTGTGTTGCTACACACTGACATGGAGCTGCAGATTTTCTCATTCAAGTTATTAAAATGCCAACCACCTTTGTAATGCTAGTAGTCACTGCCAAATCAATTTTCATTACATCGGGGGGAAAATACAAATCTTCTTAAAAACTGATATAACTGAAACTGTACGTACATTGTATTATATCACAAAATACATGTAAGTATAATGAAGAAAAATTTGTTAAGAAAGTTTACCAAAGCATTCTAGTTAAGATTACATTTAGGTGGATAAGAAATTTTTCATTTCCAAAAAATTACAAAACAACGGTAAATTGAGTTGGTATTTCACAGTATTTGAATTGCAATAGTATGAAGCGTGTATCTAAATGCATGCTATTTATGAGGCAATAGTTATGACAAAGGCATAGTAACATAACTGATTTCCCTTTGCATTCTGAGTTTGAGAATAATTAGGTAAACGACATATAAATGAACAAGAAATAATTCCATTGATCTTATTAGGCATTATTATTAAACTATACCAGTGTACTTAATGGAAAAAAATGTACATATCGCTATAAATTGTTCTCTCTGCTAACATATAATATTTTAAATTTTGAAAACAGAAAGTTAATGTTATTAATCATTTTATTAAATAAAGCAAAGATATATCAGCCGTAATTATAATAATTACTTCATGATATGTTTGGATAAACATGTTTATTAAAACAGAATTCTATATTTGAAAGATGCTATACAACATTTTATTTACATATTTTAATTGAAGTCTACTGAAAATACACCAGAAAACCTAACAGATACACTTAACATAAGGGAAACATTATCCTACACTGCTTCACTTTTTCAAAGATGTTATTCCTCCTAGTTAATGACTTACTCTAAAAAGAGTGTTAGAAGTAGCTGAAAAGAAAGGCTATGTTTAAATATGTGAAGAGGGCAAGTTTGAACATTTAATATTTATTGCCCACCTCTTAGCTTTGTTATGCTCTCAAGTGACTCTTAAGAGAATTTCACACTTCGACAATATTCAGAGAATAAGAGACATGACATTGTTAAATACCATCAACATGCCTGCTGCTCCGTTTTGAAATGTTCCTGAATTCAAAATACCCCAAAATAGTTCAGAATATCTTGCTTCTGATGTCAGGATTTACTCTGAACAGAAATATTTTGAATGAAGAAACACAAATATGTAATGAGGTATAATAGTACCCCTCACTAATTATTAAAGAAAGACTACCCGAAGGCTAGATTTATCTTCTTGCTTGAAAAACAAAATCAAGGAAACACCCACAGAAATACAAGACTCTGGATATGAGGGAATGAAGTACTTCCCGAAAGACAGAAAACAAAGGAGTTAAACCCTGCTACTGCCCTAATTTAGTGGCTAGAGTTTCCAGCAGTGGGGCAGAGAAAGTGGGCTCCTAGAGTTGTACAAAGCCAAGAGTTCCAGGAGACTAAGGTAACTAGAGTTTCTAGGTCTGAGAAGCTAGAGATTCAAAGAGAGAAATCTCTGATATCTACAGATGTTCTCCTTTCAGTGCTTAGCAGAATACTGATTAGTGTATACATGTGAGTAATCTGCTCACTGCCAGGGAAACAAGCATCTTCAAAGATTAAAAACAAACAAACAATAACAACAACAAAAACCAGTGCCTGACATTCACATATGACCTGGATTATACCTGTATTTGCCAGCCAAATGAAAGAAAAAAGCTCAATTCACAGTGCATTTGGTAAAGCAATTTAAAAGGTCTTGCCTCAGGGGTAGAAATTAATTAGATTTAAACTGAGTACTGAGTTGAATGCATCAAAAAATCATAAAAGAAGTATCTAAAAGGATCAAGCGGTTTTGAACAAATTAACTGTGTCCTAGAGAAAAAGCTCATATTTTGTACAGAAATACAAAATATCCAGCACTCACAAAGATAACATTAACAAAAACTTCCATTATATTAAACTGTAGTTAGGTTAAAATTTCTTTAACAGATTCACAGAGACTGGCAGCACAAAGTTTTGTAAGGATTTAGAGCTACTGGAACTCTCATACCTTGATGGTAGAAATGTAAAATGTTTTAAAAACTTCTGAAAACTCTTTGGAAATGTCTTATTTTCTCATAATGTTAAGCATACACCTATACTATGACAAAGAACTCCATTATAAGGTGTTTACAGGCCCTCGATCAGAAAAAACATAACCAAACATAAGTTGTATAAACATGTATATGGAAACTTTATTTAAGATAGTCAAAAATTTGAAAAATTCTAAATGTCTATCAAAGAAAAGTGGATAAACATTGTGTGACATAATCACACAAGAGAGATTACCTTTCACCAATTAACAAATAATGAGCTTTTGATACGCACAATGACACAATTAATCTCAAACACATGTTGAACCAAAAGATGCCAGGCAGAAATTAGTGCACACTGTTTTAATTCCAAAAACAGATACAACTACTGTGCAGATATGAGAAAAGTGGTTGCTTCATTAATGAGAGGTATTAACTAGAAAGAGATATTAGGAAAATTTATTGGGTCATATTTGTGCACTTGAATGAAAGTAGAATTTATTTTTGTAAAAATAAAGATGTCAGCAGATATTCAACTACTATACATGTACTGTCACATGTAACCTACCAAAGAAAAATATGTTTAAAAATACTTTTACAAAATGACAATTTAAATTAAATAAATTTGCAACTATTTGAAAACCAATTTGGCTGTTTTCTATAAAAGTAATTATTCATCCACCCAACTTCCCTATAATCAAGTCACTCCTAGGCACTTATTCAAAAGGAGTAAAAACTCTTCTCCACAGAAAGACTTGAATAAGAATTGTAATAATGAATTAACTTTTAATTACCCCAAAATAGTAAAGCTGATGTGTTCAACAACAAATAGAAAAAAATCTGGTATATTCACACAAGAAAATACCACCTACCTATTGAAAGAGACCAACTATTTATATATGCAACAGCATTTATGAATATCAAAAACATTATTTTAACTAATCTGTACACAAAAGTACATGTTGTATGGTTCCATTCATATGAATTTCTGGAAGACAAAAACTATTCTATTGTAAATAGAATAGTTGTTGCCTTGGGAATGGAGATGCAGTTAAATGAGAAAGAACATGAGTGGACTTTGTGGTATGATGGTTACTACAACATAATAGTAAACGTTACTATATTTTAATTATATATGTATATGCATTTGTCAAAACTTATAAATATTACTTAAATTTGTTCACCCTATTTTATGTAAATTTTATATAAAAATAAACAAAACAGAAAAAAATCCTAGTCTTTTTAGGAGTATGATCAAAGTTAATCACAGATTGTTTATACGTGAATGAACACACAAAAAATATGTATGCACTTACCTCTCCAAAATGTTGAAGTGTCTGCTTGTAAAAGATACCGTTAATATTTATTCATTTCACATATTCATATGATTCAAACATTTAAATATTTAAAACAAATATTACCAACACTTTTAGTAAATTGGAAAATTTAAGTCAATATCGAATTGAGAGTTTTTTTCTCATTTGGTTGATTCATTAATTATAATCAGCAAAAAAAATTTGCATATGTTACGTTTCATTATACAGATACATTTGTGACATATAATTGCAGTATTGGGCAATGACTGATAAAGTTGTATTTTATCAAAACAGCTTTCTGAGTATGTGATATTGTGATATATAAGTAAAAAAAAAATGCTAATTCATGATATTCTGTCCCTGGAAGAATATGGACAACAGAAATATTTTGTAGCATCAAATTTTAGACAAAAACAGAGGTTTACATTTAACATCAATGTCAATAATAGAGTCAGAATTGATATCAAACTTGAGAAATATTTTTACCAAAAGTAGGTCTTTCATAATTAATATGAATTGATTTCTGCCAAACTATCATATTTAGCCATGTGGTCAGTAATATAATGTAAATTATATGTAGATATATATTTTTAAAGTTGAGGACACCTAAATAAAACATGTAAATTATTTTAATTACTTAACAATCTATTATATACAAAGTATTTAAGTATATTTTAAACATATTTAATTTAACTAATTTTTTGAGTGATTTGGGCAAAATTCTGTTTTAGTTCATGTATAGACATGCTTATATTTGAGTTACTGAAAATGCAAACATTTAAGTAGTCTACTCTTAGCATATTAATATGTCCTGTATTCATTACAACATTAATTGCATTAAATTCAGCTACTATGAATAAATAATCTATCACATATACATTTTAAAGGTAGAAGCATTTCAGTTTTATACAAGGATGTCTTTTTGAGCTGACATAGGTTTCCAAGATTTGAGACAATATCAGAAGATTTATTAAAAATGATATGAGACAGCAACTCCCCACATCACTTTGCTGGCATATATCTGCATGGGTGGGCTTTACTTGCTTCAACAGCACATGGGAATGCAGTGTGCCCCCCATAATCCCCACCAACCACCACTGCAGATGGATCCTTGTTGGGCACAGAGTCATCAAGCCCCATCTACACCAGTGCCCTGCCCTTGTGCTGTGCTGCACACAGAGCAGGGGATCCCCCCACAACCTGAGCAATTGCTCCTGCTTGCAGACCACAGATAAGGCGCCAAGACCTCCACTGGCCAGCACCCCACCCCAAGCCATCACCACCTACAGTGCAGCAGTGCACTCTGTCTCCAGCAGAAGGCCCTTGCTCCCCCAACAGCTGCCTTGCCTCCAATACTGTGGTGAACACCTGCAGAGAGGCAGACACCCCTATATCCACTAGTACTTTGCTGCAGGTACTGCAGTTTGCTATCCCCAGCACAGTGGACTCCAAATCTCGAGGAGCCACAGTGTAAGAGATCGATCAGGTTGTTGTGGGAATCAGGAGACTGGAGAGATTGGTAGGTGAAACAGAAGGATTTTTATTGAGTGCACTCAGAACCAGCAGATTAATATCCAAAGACTGGACCCTGAACAAAGACAGCACTTGCCT